>NW_003571033.2:0-96131 GCF_000001405.40 Homo sapiens
ATAAACACACACAGACATATATATCACACACATACAGACACACCACATAACATACTGCACACGCATACATCATACACACACAGACATATACACATCACACACATATGCACACACAGACACACCACACATCACATACCACCCCTCCACATACATCATACATATACACACAGATATATACACACCACATACAAACACACCACACACCACACACTATATACCACACATGACCCCTACATAACATCATAAACATACAGAGATGTACACATCACACACATCCATATAGACACGCATACCACACACTATATACCACACCCCCACATACATCATACACACACAGACATACCATATACCAGATACCACACATTGTATGGCATACCCCCTACATACACACACACAGACACACCACACACACAGAGACACCCCCCACATATACATGCACACATACAGGCAGAACCCACATATATCACACACACAACACACACGCATACACACACACACACACACACTCTGCATACATCATACAGACACAGACACCACATATCACACATATACAATACACACACGCCACAGAATGCCACACAGCCACACACATCACAAGCACCCCCACACTCGCCACACTTCCTACATTCACGCTATAGCACATACCTGCACACATTCCCTACGTCCATCTCACACACATATAACCCCCACATCACACATATATGTAATACTCCACATACATCACACGCCCCCACACACGCAGACGTAGCCCTCACACCCCACACGTATATCACACACAGACATATACTACACACATCACACATCCATATGCTCCCCTAACACTACACACACACACACACGTGCACACTCCACATGCCCCTACATCCTCCCCTGCGTACACACACCTGCAGATTGTTTCGGCAGGCCCAGTTTGCTGCACATAAAGCCCTTACCACTCTTGGGCATCTGAGCTGGATCAAGCAGCCCAGCTCCTAGGCCTGTGGTAGATGTGGGTATGCTTCTGTTCCTGTGGGGATGGGAGGCATTATTATGAGAACACTCACTTTTCTCACATTGATTTTAGGGTGAGGACTTCAGAGAGACACAAAGTAGAGAGTGTCCTAGATTCATCTCTCGTTCTGCCTTGGTTCTTGCCCTGACAAAGGCAAACAAAGAGATGTCAGCACTTGTATAAGCCAGGAATCAATGGGGAGATAAATCCATTGAAAGGGAAAGCATCTAGGAAAATAGATTTGAGTCAATTATAAATGATTTTTGGATTATCAATCGTTCTTCTCTGGCTGTGGGCTACTGAGGAGAAGCTAAAGGATTATCATGAATTATTAAAAAGCTCTGGAGGGCTTTGGTAGGGGAGGTCTTTTGATTGGCTGAGTGGAGTCATGACATTTGGCCAGATGGAAATGATGTTCTCACCATAGGTATTGTTTCTGCCAATGATCTCCATGGTTCAGAGCATGTGGAGGTCCATTGTCTAATTTGTTACACATTTATGATGGAATGTACAGTTTAAAAGTTATCAAGATTTGAGATTGTCAGTCATTTGGCACTGTTTTCTTTCCTAAGATATATATTAATTGTCAGGGATAGAAATGTGTTTCAGTCTCTTCAGGTGAAATAAACTGCAATAATTTCTTCGTGAAAACCTGCTGTGAGCTGAGTGATATAATACTAACATTTATTTTAGCCCTTCTCATGTCACTAAGCACTTTATATATCCTATTTAACTTGAATTCTACAATAATTCTATGTAATAAATACTAAATCTTGTAAGCAATGGAGAGAAATATACATGCACTGGCCATCCCTATCTTTAGGAAGTATGCAGTCAAACTAAAAAACAAGAGCAATACATCAAACTATTTAGATTCTTAATAGATAAGGGCATTCCAGAGGAGTATCCATTTTTCCGGATGAGAGAGCTTTGCTGGAGGCCAGACTGCCGGACGTGGTGGCTCATGCCTGTAATCCCAGCACTCTGGGAAGCCAAGGTGGGTGGATCACTTTGAGCTCAGGAGTTGGAGACCAGCCTTGGCAACACTGCGAAACCTCATCTCTACAAAAAATACAAAAAATTAGCCAGCTGCGGTGGTGCACACCTGTAGTTCCAGCTACTAGGGAAGCTGAGGATCACTTGAGCCTGGGAAGTGGAGGTTGCAGTCAGCTAAGACTGCACCACTGCACTGCAGCCTGGGCAACAGAGTGAGACCTTGTCTCAAAAAACAAAAACAAACAAACAAAAAATCTGGAAAATCTCTGGATGTGTTGTTGGCACTGATCACTTTAAACCTGCAGACTGTGTGTTTGTTCACTGATGGATTGTTGAACACATATGAGAACTTAAGTGCTTATTTGACGGTGGGCTTAGGCAAAGGCTCTCTGGAGCTTGTGTGTTGCTTTCAATACTTCTGGAAGTCTTCATTAGGAGTTGCTGTCAGATCCTAAGGCATCTTTTCTAAAATCTTCAGGGGTGGCAAATTCTGGACCTTAAAAATGGATTTGGTAATATCCAAATAGCAGAAGAATTTACCTATCCCTATCCCCACCCACTTAGGTGAAATGAGTAAAGTAGAAAAGCGGGGAAAGAAGAATATAAGACGATCTTAAACATGGATTTAGGTATTAGAAACAGCTAAAAATTATTTGGAACAATTTGGCCTGGGAACCACAGATTTTTAAAAGAAGTTGATGAAATGTATTTTCTTGATTGATCTGTTAAATGATACTGAAAGTGTTGCCAGAATAAGGTTCTTAGAAATTTTGGAAAATTTTGGAAATCAGTTCTAGAGGTGATTTCATTAAACAAGATTGCCTTACTTGGAACTCCAGGCTCAGGTCAGTTTGTAAATACTCAAAACCCAAACCCATATATTCTCGTTCCTTCTCCTGCTCCCTTTTCCTCCTCCTCCTCACCCCACACTAGCCACATAGACTCTGATTTTGTTTCCTTGAGTGGCAGCTGGAGGCAATAATGTGGGGCCTCAGAACTTGGCAGAACAAGTGCTCCCCTGCTGGATAAACAGGCCAACACAATGAGTTTTTCCACCAACTTCTGGTCTGTTGGCAAGTCAGGTAGATGCCCAAGGGAGCTGGCAGGCACACGTGGGTGCTTCCTGCTCCACCGGGTTCTGTCTGAGGAACCCAGAGATGGTTCTCCCTCTCTCTCATGTGTCTCCCAGCATGCTTTAACTGCCCGTGTTTGTATTTTCGCCCACTAGGGGAAGCTGCATGACCCCCAGCTCATGGGGATCATCCCACGAATTGCCCATGATATCTTTGACCATATCTACTCCATGGATGAGAACCTGGAGTTTCACATAAAGGTACGTATTACTGATTGGTCCCCAGAGAAGACACTGGGCCCCAGATAACGTTTCTTATACCTCCTCCTTTCAAGAAGATATAAAAGATGATCCTACTAATTTAAATGACATTCTTGTGGTAAGCAGAGCCCTCTTTATTAGTGACCTAGGCTAACAGGTGTCTGGAGGGTTTGCTTGAAATATCCACATAATGAAAGCAAAAGCCTTCTTTAGGAGGAAATCATCTTGATTGTTGCCCAAATTCTACCCTTTATCCTCTGGATTTCTGTGGGTATGACTGAAATGTGTTTGTGTTTGGGTTAGGGCAGCATTTTCCAAAGTGTGTTCTGTGGAACACAGTCCCTTGTGTTATTAATGGTGGGCTAGCAGGGAAAAGGGCTGTAAGGCCAAATGAGCTGGGAAAATGCTTTCTTGAACAGTGTTAAGTTTATCACAGGTTTCAATATGCTCTGCAAAGGGGACATGCATTAGATTACATTTCCCAGCTTATTTGAATGTAGACACATTTCTCCTCCTAAGAGTATCACAGACTTGTGTTTTGAGCAGAGTGTCACAGAGCAGAACTCTGAGAAATGTTGGGAAGAGGAATTCTCTTCCTTTTTATCTTCCCCCTTGTATTTTGTTTTTGTTTTAAACCAAAACTTGTTATATGACTTAAATTGGCATTAAAAGAGAGATTTCTACTCTCTTACTGTAGCTGTTAAATAATCAAATTTGATAGTAGGGTATATTCATTGGAACACCTCTTTTGCAAGTGGCTGAAAGGCACTTGTTTAAGCAAATAGAGGATATTGTTTATAAGATACAGAATCTGACAGTGGGCATTTTGTGGAGGATGAAGTGTGGAGGGCAGGAAATCTAAGCCCTGTTTTTCTTTTTAAACTTTTTAAACAATTGAGATATTGTTCACATACCGCAAAATTCATCCTTTTAAAGTGTATAGTTTGATGGTTTTTAATATATTCCCAAAAGTGTACAATGATGATCCTTATCCTAATTCTTGAGCATATCGTCACCTCCAAAAGAAACCCCAAACCTGTTACAGTCCCTGCTTTTCTGCCCCCTTGCTTGACTTCTTTCTCTTGTTCTGGAGCATCTTTCTCTCTTTTTGGTGGGAGAAGGGGTTGGCAACATGGCAGCTGCTGCTCCACCATTCCCTTATTTCCAACTCTAAATTCCCTTGGGCAGGGACTCATTGGCCCAGCCTACATAGGTGCCCCCCTTGCCCGATGAGCTGTGTCCAGGATGCACATGCTGTCTGGGGGCCCCCACTGTGGCTGGGGAGGGTGAAGGGGCAGTTCTAAGAAGCCTCGCTAAGCAGATCTGCTAAGAGATTTCCCTTCAGGCTGGGATCTTAGTGCACCAGGCCCATCTGTTCAGAGATGAGGAAACGGAAGTTTAAAGATGCAGGGTTAGGCTGGGCACAGTGGCTCAGACCTGTAATCCCAGCACTTTGGGAGGTTGAGGCGGGCAGATTGCCTGAGGTCAGGAGTTCACGACCAGCCTGGCCAACATGGTGAAACCCTGTCTCAACTAAAAAAAAAAAATACAAAAAAAGTAGCCAGGCATGGTGGTGTGTGCCTATAATCCCAGCTACTCAGGAGGCTGAGGCACGAGAATCACTTGAACCTGGGAGGCAGAGGTTGCAGTGAGCTGAGATCACTCCACCACACTCTAGCCTGGGCGACAGAGAGAGATTCTGTCTTAAAAAAAAAAAAAAAAAAGACGCAGAGTTACAAGGCCCAACTTAAACACCAAGTTATTGATAAAACTAAGAATAGACCCTAGGTCTGACCAACCGCACATGCGATACCTTTTCAATTATATTAAACTTCTCCCCTTACTACTGTATACCTTTCGTAAATGACATAAAAAGAAGGCACCAACTGTTTGCCCAACTATAAATTACATCTAGCAAATCACTTTTCCTTAGGATTCCTTTTGTTGGCTAAAGCCTGCTTCTCCTTCTTGCCAAGGTTCTTTATATCTAAGGATACAGAAGCTTGTTGCTTTGATGGGATCAAGATTTAGAAGCTTAGTGCTTCTTTAGGGCTGTTTGCATTTAAATAGCTTAAACTACTGCAGGGTTCTTATGTGATAATCCTGGAATAAGATGTTAAACCAATTACTGCCCTCAAAATAGGGTCTTGTGTTAGAATCTTATTAAGATAAAAACAGCCCTAGCATGAAGTTAGGGGAGGAGAGGAACAACACTCTTAAGTCTCTAGGGCTGAATTTTACAGTCTGGATTTCTGTGTTGCATTTGTACTTATGCTTACTTGTTTTATAAATAATAAGTGGGCAAATTAGTTGCTGACTACTTTGTATTCTGAACCGGATAGTGAGAGGCTAAATCAAGAAAAAGAGGACTGACTAAGGCAATATCGAAAATCTGCTCCTTAAATGAGTCCCACAGAGGTTTTAAACTTTATTTCTGAACGTCCTATTTCTTAATGCCAAACAATGCCTATTTATTTTTCTTCCGCCTAGTCTCACAAAGTATTTTAAATGACAAAACAACAAAATCACCACCCTCGCACACACACCAAAAGCAGAAATTAATGAAATCAGAATCCTGTTTCTACTTACATTAAATGTGAATATGATTCTAATTGCCAGATTTGCCAGTATCTAGTTTGTGACTTTTTTTTAGATGTAATTAATTTTCTCTGTAATCTATGGAAATAAGGCCATATGTTTAAGATCTCAAAAATAATAGACAAGTCTTAATGAACATCAGACAATTCTGAAATAAATAGAATGCGCTGAACCAGGGTGGAGTTGGCTGCAGGAAGGACTGGGTTAGAGATGTCCAGGATTGGAGGTCAGACAGACCCATAAGGATGTGGGGAGTGTGGCAGCATGAAAGATTAGAGAAAGCTGTAGGCGTGAGTCTTTCAAATGTCACATAAGTGTGTCCATGAGAGATGGGCCTCAGGGACAGGGAAGTCTGACAGGTGTTCAAGTAGGCAGATGTTGCTAGGGATACAGGCAGCCAGGAGAGATGCCCAGCAGTGGATTCCAGGGCTCAAGCTAGGACCCCACATCTCAGAGTAGCTGGGATGGTTCCAGTCAGGTAGTTCCAGACCGAGGCACATTAAGGATAATGGATCAGGGCTGAGTCAGAGCTGGGACCAGTGCTGGGTTAGAGTCTTTGCTTCCCCTTGACTGGTCCAGAGCTGGGATGTAGGGATGAGGTTTTACCTGAGTAGTCACATCCCAGCTTTACAACTTTACAACTGTTTTCCTTTCTGCCCACTCCCTTGTTTAGATTTCAAAAGCACTTATGAACATAGGGCAGATAAGTTTATTGGGTAGGCAGACAGCAGATGTAAACAGAGTACAGAATCCTAGAGGGGGATTTTTGACATCGTAAAGCCCTATGGCTTCATGTGACAGATGGTACAATTGAGGCCTAGGGTCTTGGTTATGTGTGAATTGAGTCCCTAAGACCACATATTTAGTTAAAGCAGGTCTCAGACATCAGCCAGCATAAGAATCGCCTGGGCAACTGAGAACCAGATTCCTAGTTCCTTTTATCTGGGATTCGGATTCAGCAGGACTGTAGTAGGGTTCAGGGTTCTGCAGTTCAAACAGGTTCTTAGGTGATGCTGATGAAGGTGGTGCTGTGGCTGAGCCTTGAGACTAATGGGAAGGCCTCCTTTTCTTCTCACAGTCTAACCATCTTTTATCAAGTCCCATTTTGTTCAGATCTTTCCTGGATGCACCAGAGCTGGCCACCATTACCAGCTCTTGCTCAGTTACCTTTCTGAGCTCTTGTAGTTCTAAACACACTGCCCTTGCCCTCTCCTGGCTTCTTGCATGTGAACATTTGGGCTAAGTCTCCTTCATGATACTGTCAGTATCATGCAATAAGGTGAGGCCTACTGAGTGTTTTCTAAGCGTGCTTGGTGCTCATCTAACTTAAAGCCTAGAGTCCTCCTGTAAGTGTCTAGCACATGATGTTAAGAACACTTGAATGACAACCAAAGGGAGCTGTGATGTGTGTAGGTGGAGAGTGGTCCACACTTAGGGAAGCGTAGAGCAAGCGGGAAGTAGGGGAATCCCAGTAGAGCTGGCCAGATTTTAAGTCTTCACTTTGAACCCCTCTTCTTACTCTTCTTAGCCATGCATGATGAAAGCTTTCATAAGTACTAATAATGGCATTTTTGAAATACACTGCGGCATGTCTATTCCAAGCTCAATTTGTTTTTAACTAGGTTTCCTATTTTGAGATCTACTTGGACAAAATAAGGGACTTACTTGATGGTAAGTAACCTCAGTGCTTGTCCTTTATTTGTTCTGTAACGAAAGTCCGGGGAGGTTGAAATGGTTTATCACACTTCTGCTTAAGGAATTAATGAAAATTTATAGAGATACTCTGTTGCCTTCAGGGTATATGTTTATTCTCAGCCAAGGCTTAAACTTGCATATTGCAAAGAGATTAGATTTGACTGTCTTTGTAACAAACTTCCATTTTTCCTCCAATATAGAGTCTTTAACTTTTATTTTCTTCTTTGCCTGCTGTCATTCTCATCTTTTTAGTATCCAAGACCAACTTGGCTGTTCATGAAGATAAAAACAGAGTCCCGTATGTAAAGGTATGAGGAAGATTTGATTGGTGATGCAATTAATTTCTCTCCAGTCTCTGTCATAATAATTATTACATAAGATGTGCAGAATATTATCTGTAAAGAGCATATAGGCATTTATTCAGGCTCCTTATATTTAATATTCATCTGGTTTTAAAAATTGACATTTACTTTCTTCAATTGTATCTTTCCTTTATGACATTATTATTTAATATTGTTCACATTTAAAGAGATTTTGATATTGAGTGCAACTGTTTTTACTTTGCAGTAACGCCTATTATAGCATTATCTGTGGAACATCAAAGTAGCTAATATTGGTGGCCATGATCATAAATAAATAAAGATAGAAGGCAAAGCAAAACTTCATCCATTTCTTCTTCTCTCATTGATTTTCTTCTTTGATTTTCTGTCTTCTTAAAGTGTTGCTGTTCAGTATGAATATGTACTCAAAAACCTAGGAAAATTTGACAGTTCTTTTTTTGGTTTACGTCTATATTTCCTAGGGCTTGCTCAGACTTCTCTTTAATGTAGAATTCAAGCCCTGGGCAAGGAGGAAAAGTTGTTGGATCGATATTTCAGCCTTTCTATTTATCTGCACCTCTAGAAGATAAACAGGAAAATGTTTCAGCCTTTCAAAATATTGTTGCTTTTCAACTCTTTCAGTGGTGAACCTGAACTGATTCTCTTCCAGGGGTGCACTGAGCGGTTTGTGTCGAGCCCTGAGGAAGTCATGGATGTAATAGATGAAGGCAAAGCAAACCGACACGTGGCTGTGACAAGTAAGCATGGTGGGGGTGTTTCCTCCCCTGCAGCTTGGGAGACAGATATCTGCCCACCAACCGAGGGGGGTGGGGAATTAGGTACAAATGAAAGAATGCATGGGAAGGTG
This sequence comes from Homo sapiens, assembly GCF_000001405.40. Taxonomy (NCBI): domain Eukaryota; kingdom Metazoa; phylum Chordata; class Mammalia; order Primates; family Hominidae; genus Homo; species Homo sapiens. The sequence continues at coordinate 8,802 of NW_003571033.2, forward strand.
ATTAAAGAGCAGTGCTCGGACACAGACGCCAGGGTATGTGTGCTATGAGTATGTCTAGGCAGTCATGGGAAAGGGTGCCTTCTGCTGTCCACAGGACTCTGAGGTCTTGGAGATATTGGGTGAGACTTACTGGACCCTGATAACAGCCTAAGCCTGAACATTAGGAAAAATAAACAACCAGCCAACCAAAGGGAGGGAAAGAGTAAGCTCATCAGTTTATTTATTTTGATCATGTTATTGTTCAGGTTAAAAAAAAGTTCCAAACCAACAAATTCTATAATATGTTGCAGTCACACACATGGAAATAAACCATGTTGGATTTCTGCCTTCTGTAAAAAAGAAAAAGAAAGGGAAGAAGGAAGTCAGAAAGCAGAGCCAGGAGCTTTAGGGAAAGCCTTCCGATATGTTACTAGCAGACACATTCAGATCGGCTCATTGGCTCTGCAGTTCCTTCCTCAGTATGTTCATTGCATCTGAGGGAAGCAGTGCATATGGGATTTGGGCAGCAGAGGATCCGTGAAAAAAGACAGTTGTCTATCTTATTAAGAGGGATGTGGACAAATGACAGTGAGTTCATATGAACAGAAGCTGAGAGAACTAAGGGTTTATAGCTTGCATGAGGGAAAAAAATCTGGAGGAGGGTGTGTGGACAATGTAATATATCTTACCGTGTTGAAGGTGCTGACACTAAGAAAGAGGGTCAGCTTGTTCTGTTCCATCTCAATACTTAGAATACCCATGATTGTTGGAGCTCTAGGGAGGCAGATTTCGACCCCTGTGAGGAGAACTCTCCAACCCTTATAGCTGCCCCAAGTGCTGCCTGCTACCTAGAGAGGTAGTGAGTTCACTGTTATGTTGTAAAAGAGATTCAGGCATTGGTTTCCTGACTGGTCTAGGCTCTTTAAGTCTCTTCTACCCAAGACTCTCTGATTCTGTGGTCCAGAACTGTAATTCTCAACATTTTCTCTATCTGAGCAATGTATCAGATGATATTCATGTATATAGCAACTTTCATAGGTGAGCCTATTCCTGGATGAAATGTTGGTCAAGCTCCACTTCTTTTTCTCTTGCTTAAAACATGCACACATACCTGAAAGAATGTAAGACAGATATTCTTATAGTAGTAGCATCTCTCATTTACGTTATTCACTCTGTTTCTGAAGCTGTTTTTAATCACAAATTATTTATGGCATACCTGATAATCCATTTTGATGCCTTGGTTTGGAACTGCTAATCTAAAAAAAAATTGCTATTATTCTTATCATTCTGGTAAGGTTTTTCTTTATTATTGCAATAAAATATACTTAATATGAAATTTGCCATCTTAACCATTTTAAAGTGTGCATTTATGTGATGTTAAGTACCTTCACAATGTGTGCAATGTCACCACCTTCCATCTCTAGAACTTTATCTTCTCCAACCAAAACTCTGTACCCAATAAACACCAATTCTTTATTCTCCTCTTGCTCAACCTACTTTATCTCTATGAATTTGACTGCTCTAGGTACCTCATGTAAGTGGAATCATAAAGTGTTTGTCCTTTTGTGACTTATTTCACTTAGCATAATGTCTTCAAGTTTCATCCATGTGGTAGCAAGTGTCCTTCCTTTTTAAGGCTGAACAATATTCCATTGTATGTATATACAACATTTAAAAAATTCGTTTAACCATTAATGGACGCTTGGGTGGCTTCCACATTTTGGCAGTTGTGAATAATGCTGTTATGAACATAGGTGTGCAAACATCTATTTGAGTCCTTGATTTCAATTCTTTTGAGTATATATGCAGAAGTGGAATTTTCGGATCTCATGGTAATTCTACTTTCAATTTCTTGAGGAACCGCTACTATTTGCTATTATTACGATTTTCTATAGCAGCTGTACCATTTTCTATTCCTAACAGCAGTACATCAGAGTTTCCATTTCTCTATATCCTTGCCACTTGTTATTGTTATTATTTTTATAATAGCCATCCAAATGGTGTGAAGTGCTGTTTCATTGTGGTTTTGATTTGCATTTCCCTAATGATTAGTGATGTTCAGCATCTTTTCATGTGCTTATAGGCCATTTGTATATCTTCTTTGAGGAATGTCTATTCAAGGTCTGTATTTATTTTTTAATCAGGTTAATTTGTTGTTGTTGACTTGGAGTTCTCTATGTATTCTGGACATCAATCCCTTATTAGATATATGATTTATAAAATTTTCTTCTATTCCATGGATTGCTTTTTTACACTATTGATAGTGTCTTTTGATATAAAAGTTTTTAATTTTGATGAAGTGTCTATTTTTATTTTGTTGCTTGTGCTTTGGGTGTCATATCCAAGAAATTATTGCCAAGTCCAATGTCATGAAGCTTTTCTCCTGTGTTTTCTTCTAAGAGTTTTATAGTTTTAGTTTTTATATGTAGGTATTTGATCCTTTTGGAGTAAATTTTTGCATGTACTCTAAGGTAAGGGCCCAACATTAATATATTTTTTGCATGTAGCTATCCAGTTTTTCCAACACTATTTGTTGAAAAGACTGTTCTTTCCACATTAAATGGTCTTGACACTCTTGTTGAAAATTATTCAACCATATATGTGAGGATTTATTTCTGGGCCCTTTATTCTCTTCTGTTGATTTATATGTCTGTCTTTATGTCAATACCACACTGTTTTGATTCCTGTAGCTTTGTAGTAACTTTTATTTTTTATTTTTCCATAGGCTATTGGGGTACAGGTGGTATTTGGTTACATGAGTAAGTTCTTTAGTGCTAATTTGTGAGGTTTTGGTGCACCTATCACCCGAACTGTATGCACTGCACCCTATTTGTAGTCTCTTATCCCTCACCCTACTCCCACCCTTCCCCTCAAGTCCCCAAAGTCCATTATATTGTTGAAGTGTGAGACCTTCAACTCTGTTCTTATTTTTCAAGATTGTTTAGGCTATTTGGTATCCCTTGAGATTTCATATAAATTTTAGGATGGATTTTTCTGCTTCTATAAAATATGTCATTGAAATTTTGATAGAGATTGCCATGAATCTGTAGATTGCTTTGGGTAATACTGACAGCTTAATGATATTAAGTCTTTCAATCAATCCCTTTATTTGTGTCTTCTTTCATATCTTTCAGTCATGTTTTGTAGTTTCCAGTGTACAAGTCTTTCTCTTCTTTGGTTAAGTTTATTCCTAAGTAGTTTATTCTTTTTTTGCTATTATAAATAAGGTTGTTTTCTTAATTTTTTGGGTTGTTCATTGTTAGTATATAGAAATGCAACTGATTTTTTACATGTTGATTTTGTATCCTACAGCTTTGCTGAATTAATTATTAGTTCTAACAGTTTTTTAAAAATGAATCTTTAGGGCTTTTTACATATAATCTGGTAAGATGGTTTTGAGAAATGATTGCTGGTGAAGGCTGAATGGGATGGTTGCTGGGGTCTCTGTCTGCTTGGCAGACAAAGACGAGGATTTGCAAGGATTTTTATTTCCAGTACCCCATCTTAATGAAGCATATTTAATTTTTGAAACCTTCTTTGCTGTTAGCATAGGTTGTAGAAGTGTATGTCTTAATCCTTCCTTAGGAAAGTCTTAATCCTTGCTTAAGAAAGCTTATGATATTACTGATAAGGCAAGGCTTATGCACATGACTAAGATAGACTACATCATGTATTAATCATGATGAAGTCTGAGGAATTTAAAGTGAGGCAGGGGAGGAGGTAGTGAATTCTTCAAGGGGAAAGTCATGCTGGAGTAGGAATTTAGAGGATGGGGCTTCAGGTAGAGCTAGAAAATCTGATATCTTAAACTGTTGACTAAGATTTTTAGATTAACTTCTTTGCTCCTTGAAGACATTTAAAATCTTGTATTTCTAGAATGAGCATTGTTTTTCAGAAGAAACAGGGGTCTCAGATAATTTTTAGAATTGACTGGACTTACTTCAATGAAATGGATCTATTAGGCATGACTTGTTATGCTTTTTAAATGAGAGGATTGCTACCTAAACCTACATGTTCTTTGTAGAGCAGTAAACTATTTTCCTTTTCAGACATGAATGAACACAGCTCTAGAAGTCACAGTATCTTCCTGATAAATATTAAACAAGAGAATGTAGAGACTGAAAAAAAACTCAGTGGGAAACTTTATTTGGTTGATTTGGCTGGGAGCGAAAAGGTAATTTGTTCTTTATTTGTATTATCTATAATTTTCCCCTTTTATTTGCTTCATTGTGCATGGTATAATTTTTATGCTTTTCTATTTTCCTGCTTTAAAGAGCTTTTAAAGTTTCTGAGGCTCTGCCAAGGTGTTATTACATTTAACCCTTTGTCCCTGCTTTCTTTTCTGGTCCTGAGGTCTCCTATTGGTGTCACAGGCAGGTGCTTTGCATGCCAACTCTGATTTATCCCTGATGGGCCCTTATGATGATATGAGGCAACAGTTGGTTTGACTTAGCCTGTGGCAGAGGCAGCTGCACACATGTGGGAGGGATATGAACTTCTGAGAAAAGAGAAAATCCCATGTTGTACCCGACTCTAATAGGCCAGGAACGAGCTTTGCCATTGGAATGTGGCAGTCCTGCCTCTGCAGGTTTGTTTTGCTGATAGAAGGTCTGGAACCTGGGGCGCTCCCTGCATTCCCTGGTTCTCCCAGCAGTAGGCATGGGCTGACGGTGTCCCATGTGGAAGGCCTTGGCTCTCTCATGAAGTGTGGCCTGTAATCAGCCTCAGCGGCAAGCCTTTACTGTTCTCTGGTTTTGTCCGGATTCTCTTTTGTCGTCTACACCCTGACCCATGCCCTCCCAGGCCCTGGCTGGGGCTGTACTCCAGAGCAATAGGCTTCCCAGAATCTCCAGTCTCACTTCCATAGCACCAGTGGAGGCTTCTGCTGCCACACCCTGTCTGGAGGCACTGACCTCCCTCGAGCAACATCATAGAGCAAGGCCATGTGCACAATGCCCTCTGGCCTCCATCATCACTGACATCATGCTGATTGTCCCCATGAAGGCCAGCCTTGAAGCTTGGTCAGTCTCCCTAACTGTATGATTGATCCCCACTTATTGCACTACATCACTGAGTTCCCGTATGCCAAGTTATGGCCACTTACATCCACGTGAGTAATGGTTACTTGGATTGTCCTCTAGTATGCATTTGTAAAACCTGAGCAGAAAGTCATCCGGGTATTTCTAGTTGGGAATCTAAAATTTTACTAGTATGGGGCCGGGTGCAGTGGCTCACGCCTGTAATCCCAGCACTTTGGGAGGCCGAGGTGGGCGGATCATGAGGTCAGGAGATCGAGACCATCCTGGCTAACATGGTGAAACCGTGTCTCAACTAAAAATTAAAAAAAAAAAAAAAAATTAGCCAGGCATGGTGGCGGGCACCTGTAGTCCCAGCTACTCGGGAGGCTGAGGCAGGAGAATGGCGTGAACCCGGGAGGCGGAGCTTGCAGTGAGCCGAGATCGTGCCACTGCACTCCAGCCTGGGTGACAGAGGGAGACTCTGTCTCAAAAAAAAAAAAAAAAATTTACTAGTACGGGCTTGTAACTTTAGTTAAACAGACGTACAACAGATGGAAATAATGGAGGATTATTGTTATTTAGAGCCTAAATACACCTGAAAACTGCTTAATACTGACAGACTGGAGTGGAGGCCTGCCTCTGCACAGTGTCAGTGGTTATTGCTAATGATATTTATGAGGTGTTTGAAATCATGTCCTTCACGTAGTTTCTTTTGCTCACACACACCTGTTTTCCTTTGCCCTAGATGTGTCCATATGACTGTGTCAGTGTGATCTTGTAGAAAAGAACTCTGGGCTTTAGTTCCCGTCTCCCCTGAATGGTGTTCTTCCCTTAGGCTGGCAGTTTGACATTTCTGGGGCTCAGTTTCCTGTCTGTCGAAGGAGGGTGATAGATAGTACCTGCCTTGTATATTTCATGGAGTTAAGATGCTCAAATAAGAAAGCATCTTAAAATAACAGTGCTTAAAATAACATAGACTGCTACTATTTGTGACCCATCAGCTACATGATTTCTCTATGTGTAAGCAGGGGTACCACACAAACAAGTCCAAGGGAGTTGAGAATCTATTCTATTTGGAAAGAAACCTCCCCCTGGACATGAATTCATTTCTGTCATCAGGAGTTTCTCCTTTATATGTGATTCGAATTTGCGTAGTTGAACATTGCTTCCCCACTTCCTTTCTTGAGAGAGCAGCTGCTCCCCCTGCATCGTTTGTCCAGTCAGCAGAGACATGAATCATGTTGAGTTCCCTTTTTTCTAGCATCTGTAAACTGCCCTCTACCTAGAATAAATGCTGTCAAGATGAAATTACCAGCAATAACGCAGCAAAGGAGAAACTATGCATGGTCCCTCTGGCTGCAGAGGAAAAAAGACAAATTTACGATGCAGTATACATTTGACTTTTCATTTCTCTCCCAAGTTTTTTGCTTTTTGGATATTTTTCATTTTTTCCTTGCTATGAGAATAAGTAGGGAAGGAACGGACTCTAGATAACCAACCCTACCGCCTCTAGTCATCTGCCTGAACTTGGAGCCCGTAACTTACATTTTTCCAATATGCCCATTCATTGTGGCTCAGGACAATATTTTCTCTTCATGCTTCCCTCTGGGCTCCCTTCGGCATGGGGACTGCGGCTCAGTCTCCCAGGGCCCGAGCTACCCATGGTGACAGCACTTCTGGAGCCTGGTTTCCCTGGATGGATGGCCCCTGGGGAAGCATCTGCAGCTCCACCATTTGAGGTATTTCAGCTATTCCACTAAAACCCAATTGAGAGGAAAATGATGGCAGGAGAGACCAAATCCCCAGCCTCATACACGAAGGATGGTTTTTTATCACTGTGGGTCTTCTCTACTTTTATTTTTCCTTGCTTTCCAGGAGGCTGTCCCCCTTTGCCCTCGTGTGAATTTGAAATTTCTACTTTGTGCTTCTGCCGTCCTGTGCTGCTCACTGCTTTCTTTTCTCTCTGGTAGGTCAGCAAAACTGGTGCCGAGGGAGCTGTTCTTGACGAAGCTAAAAATATCAATAAGTCTTTGTCTGCTCTTGGAAATGTGATCTCTGCTTTGGCAGAAGGGACAGTAAGTGATCCTGCCCCCATCTATTAAGTAATATTATGAGAAACCACCTTTTGGGGCCTCATAGTCCCTTTGCCACACACCCCAAAGGCTGGTTTGTTTTTCTGTTTGGAAGAGGACAGAGGGAATCCTGGCTATGGATGCCTGCTTGCTGGGAGTTCCCATCTACTAAAAAGTATGAATGGTGATGCTAATTTCCTATGACATAGGTCAAAGAATGGGCATTCTAAACTTTGGCAAGATCCAAAGACCCAGCCACAAATTCTTGTTTTACTCGGTTTCTAAGCTCAGTGTCTTCATCCCTGACTTGCTTGCCTCTGTGTTTTTCTCAGAATGGGCTGTCAAAACCAATACTTTTTCTTTTCCTAAATAGAAAACACATGTGCCATACCGGGACAGCAAGATGACTCGGATTCTTCAGGACTCTTTGGGTGGGAACTGCAGAACCACCATCGTCATTTGCTGTTCTCCTTCTGTCTTCAATGAGGCTGAGACCAAGTCCACACTGATGTTCGGACAGAGGTACGTGTGGTCTCTCAGGACCCATCCTCTGTGCTAGGTCTTGGGTCTTAAGAGTGAATGGCAAGGCTGGGTGCAATGGCTCACACCTGTAATCCCAGCACTTTGGGAGGCCAAGGCGGGTGGATTGCCTGAGGTCAGGAGTTTGAGACCAGCCTGGCCCACATGGTGAAACCCTGTCTCTACTAAAAATACAAAAATTAGCCGGCCGTGGTGGCATGCGCCTGTGGTCCCAGCTACTTGGGAGGCTGAGTCAGGAGAATTGCTTGAACTCAGGAGGTGGAGGTTGCAGTGAGCCAAGATCATACCACTGCACTCCAGCCTGGGCGACAGAGCGAGACTGTCTCAAAAAAAAAAAAAAAGAATAGTGAGTGGCAAGGGGCTATTGTCAGAGAATCACAAAGTAAGGGACAAACAGCCTTTTACTAAATTACATCTAGCAGGTGATATGTAAACTTGAGGCATCACTTATTGAAGCCAAAGCAATAATTATATTTTAAAATAATGGGCAAGAACATGCCAGTCAAATGTATGGTGTTTAAAACAAAACGGAACAACCAAACTCATTTCAGATGTGAATTGGAAATGCATTGGGGTGTTACTTTTGTTCTTCATGGCACTGGAGTCTACCTTTTAGGTTCATATTATTTCAAGTGTGTAAATCTCAAGATTGATAACTGCCTTTAGCTCCGGTATTTGCGATCCATTGCACAGTTGCTGATAAAACACCCAGAAAATTAGGTGAATGCAGAAGAGAGGTATAAAAGGAAAAGAAGGGGAAGGAATCTTTACCAGCACTGGAGGTAGGAGGTCTGGACTGTATGCTGAGAAGAGATGCAGATGACAGCTTCCTACTTTTAAAAATTCCCACATGAGACTTCCTAGATCCCTGGGAGGTGTCCATAGGTGGGCAGCAGGTACGACTCCATAATCGTAAAGCAAGAGTTACATGTGTGGTTTGGTTCATATCTTTTTTTCTTGTCACTTTCTTTTTTACCTACCCCCTCCCACTGTCCAAGGCCTGACCTCCTTCAGGCATGTTTCCTCAGTTCCAGTGTTTAGGTTCTATCCTTCAGCCCTCGTGCCTCAGTGTTCATTCCCAGAGTGCTTGCGGTTCTGTGGATTGGGCGATCTGAACATCTTCAGTGCTCAGCGAGCTCTGATGTTGGATGAGGGCTCAGAGGGCTGAGGTTGGATGTGGATTCTGCTGCCTTCGGTTTGTTTAATTCTGAACAATCATGTGATCTTTAGACAAGTCACCAGTGCTCTGTGGGCTTTAACTAGCTCATTTGTACATGGATGCACAGAGCACTTCCCTGCCTTCTCCCTGGGAGTGTGTGTTGTGTGGTTATGCCTAAGGAATAGTTTAAGATGAGAGAAAGGACAGATGGGGGTGGGCATTCTGTCTGGGAAATTGTTATGGCTTGTTTAAACTGCATTAAGCCCCAGTCATTTCCTGAGCCCTCAACAGAACATAGAATTACACAGCCGTGGCACCTGTGGGATGTCTAAATAAATAATAATTATATTGAAATGTTGTAGACCTAATATATCTTTTAAACTGGATTTGGGTCCTTTACTTCCTCCCAAATCGCTTCCTTGATTAGTTAAATGCTTAGGCCAAGGGGGTTGCAGTAGGATAACACCTACTTTCCTCAAGGGTCTCAGAAACCCACAAACCAGCATCTGCTTATGGAAAACAAGATCGCATCCTGCCCAGTGTCTTAAACTTGAGCTTTAACAATTTCCTCTGAAGACATGTTTGAGCAAACCAGCTCTAAGTGCATTTATAAAGGAAACATCTCTTCAAAAAAAATCCTTACCAGCAAAGCAAAAATATTCTGGCTCTTCTCAAGCCAGAGTCACCGTGGGGCATTGGCTATCTTTGCAAGGCCCAGTCACCTTGGGGCATTGCTGTTATCAGGAGGTATTTGCAGCTGTCTACAGGAAGCATTTTGAATATCAGTTAGTGTCTAATATATGTCAGGTGTGTCAAAATTATAGCACTTCTGACAGCAATTATCTCACCTTTGTACAGGGTATGAAATCAAGGCTTAGGTGCAAAGCCCTTGGATACCATACCTGAGACCACACAGCCAGTAAGTGACTAAACATGTAGGATGTCCTAGGATGCAGTGTCTGAGCACAGCCCTTTGGGTCAGTAAGCCCAGTGTTGAAGCTAATTCTGCTATTGACCCATTCTCTTGTTTACCTCTCCCCTCTGAGCCCCAGTCTTCTCTCCCACAGAGAGATATATAATAATGCCTACTTTCAAGAATATTGGGAGGATTATATGAGTTGCTTCAGTTTTTACCTAGCACAAGGGCTGGCATGAGTCCAGGTAAAAAAGTCCGTGACTGATGGCAGGCTATCGGTGATTGCAAGTTCTGCTTTTCCTTCGTCTTAAATAATCTCACAGTATTGCGGCTTGAAAAGGTCATAGTAGTAGATGGGACTAGACTGAATATAATGCACTGTAAGGGACAGCACTGTCATATAAGGGAGAGGATTAAATAAAGTAGAATTAGAATTACATTTTGGGAATGAACAAATAAAAAATGCTGCAGGTAATTTGGGCTTCCAGGAAGTAAAAAGTAATATAAATTATGTTTTCAAATGAAATAGGTCGGTCTACATACTTTTATCAGAGTCATCTAGATTCTGCTCTCTGTGACAGCAGGGACTGAGTTTGTCACAGACATTAGTTTCTCATCAACCACTGCACAACTAGTTCACAGTAGGTGGTCAATAAATAAATGCTTATCAAATGAATGAACAGATGAATCTAAAGCTTATTGTGTAAGGTTACTTGGAAAGTTAGGGCAGTTGCTGAACATTGATGCCATTACGTCCAGAAGTTTGGTTGGGTTTGGATCTGGTTTGCTTTCCAAACTATTATTGGAAATGTGTGAGGTTTCGTTCCTTTCCCTTTATCCCCAAGTTAGTTAATGGATTATTTAAGGATGCTGAGCTATTCTATGGGGCCAATACCTGCTGTATTGTTAAATATACTCATTGAACCCAATTATACAGCAGACACAAGACTGAACATCGGATTAGACATGGTATGTGATAGCTAATGAGATTAAGCACTTTGAACTCAGAAAAGACTGCCGGGCACATCCCAAATTCATTGTAATGAGTGTTCATTATATTCTTACTGCAGAGGTGGCCAAACCTTAGGGCAGCATGAGGTTCCTCCGTTATTCCTTTGTGGTTCTTTCAAGGACGTGAAGAGAGTACACGTTTGTTCTGCTTGACTGTACTGATGTTCTGAATAACACAGTGTAGTATGTGTTTCGAAGCAGTTCAATCTGCAGATCCCTGAAGGCACTCTACCAAGAGTCCTGTTAGCATTCTTCAGGATTATAGGTTAGATACTGGAATTTAAAGGGAAAAATTTACCATGTCTATTTCTATTTTTGTTTTTTAAATTATACTTTTAAGTTCTGGGATACATGGGCAGAACATGCAGGTTTGTTATATAGGTATACATGTGCTATGGTGGTTTGCTGCACCCATCAACCCGTCACCTACATTAGGTATTTCTCCTAATGCTATCCCTCCCCTAGCCCCCCACCCCCCGACAGGCCCCGATATGTGATCCATCCATGTGTTCTCATTGTTTAACTCCCACTTATGAGTGAGAACATGCGGTGTTTGGTTTTCTGTTCCTGTGTTAGTTTACTGAGAATGATGGTTTCCAGCATTCTGGTTCTTCCATTCAGTCGGGGTTGTTTCCTTTAGTTTCCTGAATGCCCAGCATCGTGCCATTAAAGAAGTAAGTGCTGTCTCCTGTGTTCTCAAAGAGCTTTTAATCTAGCTGAGGAGGCAGCACTTGAATTACGAGGCAGTAGAAAGTCAAAAAGCCAGACTCAAATTAGAGCACTTTTATTGATTCTTTTCTTCTGGCTTCCAGAATTCTATTTTGTAGTCTTTAATTACTCTTCTCAACTACTTTTACAGCGCTATTTGAAAAAGATATTTATGTTTTAGAAGTGTGAACTCAAATCACCCAATTGTGTTGGAAGCCTATTTAATGTACCTTGATTTGGGGTGGTAATAAAGGGAAAGAGGCCCTCTGAGGGGGCAGACCAATGTGGTTAGGAAGACCTGAATCGGCACATCTTTGGCACTGGGAGTTTTGATTGATCCAGCATGAATAATTTGAGGCTTTGTTTGTATGTTGAATGTGGAAGGAGAATTGATATCTTAGGGAAAGTAATAATCTTTTTTCTTTTCCTGATGTGCACTTAAAAAAGTCGTGTCATCATTTTAATTGTGTCATCTGCCAGTTTAGTGGTAGCTAGATTAGGCAGAGCCTGAATAGTGTGCATATGAAATTTATGTCACCAGAACATGAGAACACATTACCTACGAGAGTAGAATGAGCATTTTGGCCAAGGCAGACACTTGGCTACACTTTGACATGAAAGAAAAAAAGGCTTAAATCATTCCTGTTGGGGGGCCTGTTGCTGAAACACCAGTAGGGTTAATTTTTGCCCTTGGAGGGAAGAAATACTGTGGGTGACATACATTTAACTAGATGCCAAGTCCTTATCCATGTCATTTCTGAATGTTTCTCAGGAGACTAGAACTTTTTAAAGACACAAAATTTTCATTTCTCCCTCCTGCCCTCCCTCCTTCCCTCACAAGCAGGGAAATGGCCTCACCAGAAGCTGGGAAGGTGCTTTGGAGCAGTGGTCCTTTCAGAAGAAGGTTTGGGTGTTTTAGATGGGAACTAGGTCTCAGAGCAGATTGGAAGGTTAGTTTCTGATTAGTTTTATATGTCAGCTTGGCTAGGCCATAGTGCCCAGTTACTTAATCAAATACAAATCGAGGCGTTGCTGTGAAGGTACTTTGTAGAATATGCTTAGCACTTACAATCAGCTGACTTTAAGCAAGGCAGATTACTCTCAATAATAAGGGCGAGCATCATCCACTCAGTTAAAGGCCTTAAGAGCTAAAATGGAGGTTTCATGGAGAAGACAAAAATTGTGCTTCAGGATGGTAACATCAACTCCAGCCTCAGTTTGCAGCTGTCAGCCTGCCTTATGGCTTTCAAACTTGCCAGCCCCCATAGTCATGTGAGTCAGTTTCTTAAGTAAATAAAAGAGTGAGGTATATCATATATATGTATGTATGTATATATAGTAGGATTTTATATATACAATAGGATATATAATATATTATCTATATTTATCTATCATCTGTCTTTATCTTTCTCCTATTGGTTCTGTTTCTCTGGAGAGCTCTGATAGTGAAGAATGCTATACTCTCTATCCTCTCCTGCTCCCACAGTGGGAGAATCTCCGTTTCTGTCTCTCACACACCATTCACAGTGCAGAATCACACATGACAGATTTATTCTGTGTGCTGAAGGTGTGAGGTTGTCTAGAGCTCCTTATTCAAATGCCAGCACTATCCTGAACACCTGGTGAGAAAAGAAGGATGCTGAAATAAAAGGTATGAAGGTACCAAGAACAAATATCTTTGTGGTTATTCCAGGGAAGCCAAAGTAAACAGAAGAAACGCCAAAGGTAGGCACTCCTCGTGTCATTTAGAACTGACTGTGGCCAGGAAATATGAGTGTAGGAAACCACTGGGAAAGCAGGTGGGGATGAGACTCATCAGAATGCAGTGGTTCTAGGTCTTCTCCCCACTCAAGGAGGGCTTCGTTCAAGTGCCAACTTACGAGGGTGCCTTCAGTGTCATCACATGTGGGTGCTTAACCTCGGTGGTGGAGATGGGTAGCATCAGCAGTCTTGGAAGCTGGCCATGTGCTTCTGAAATGTAAACTGCAAATTCAGTGATGGAAGGATTGAGTGGTGCTGGGAAGAAAATAACAGAATGCTCGACAATGGGGAGGTAGTTTCCTCTTTCCATTCTTTAGTAGAATATATCTAAGAGAATCTTTACTGACTTAACTGTCTCTGTAGCAGTATCTAGATGGAAGATGTACTGTGGCCTCTGATCTTTGTCCACTAGGCTTGGTCTGCCTTTCCTAAGGGTGGTTAACATTCATTAGCTTTGAGGTCTTTAAAAAATTTGGTCCTGGTTCCCTCCCTGTGGGGAGAAGAGATTTTATACCTGGGGCATGCCTAGATCATATATCATTAAAGTAGTGCTTGACTTGAAGCAAGCCAAAACAAGGAAAAGATGCAAAACAGATTCCCTGATAATGGCATCCTCACAATTTGACTCAGTTTTAAAAGCAGGTCTTGCTGTTAGGGTATAAACTTAGGACTGAATTAAAGTTCTTTCCCAGAGTAGCCTTTGGTTAGGATTTTGCTCAGTTCCTGCTGCGGTTATAACTTGTGGAATAGACATTGATATCTGTATATACATTGAGGGCTCTGATTGAAAACCCTGAGAGTTTTTAGAAATGAAGAACCCACTTTTGTATTTCTTTGTGAATGATCAGGCCACTTTGGATTAATCAAATAGTATCACAGCCAGTTTCACCTTTAAAGAGGATGAGTGAGCAGTCAGTAAGTGGCTAGAATAAGGCTTCTATGGGTCATTGACTTGTTTCTCTATATCAAAGAGATAATGTCCTGGAACCATAAGGCTGGTTGGTATCACAATTGCTGTATATAGCTTCTGCTAGACAAAATCACAAAACCTGCCTTAAGAGCACTTCTTAATTTCTGCTGTCTTCTTGATTTTGTGTCTCCCTGTAAGCTACCTGAAGTTCTTTTGGAAACAAGGCTGAACAATAAATGCACACGTGTGGGCCTGTGCCCAAGTTCCGGATCATGTTCACTGGCAGCCTCACGCCCTAGATCCAAACCACAACAAGACAGCAGAACACTGTGTAACCGCATTGATGGCAACTAGCTAGATATTAACAAAGGAGGAAACTGATTTTTTTTTCTTTTTTTCCTCTGAAATCAGTTAAAGCTAATTAAGGGAAAGTGAATTTTGAATGTCCAAATAGAAAGAAGCTAGTGATCATTAGGCTCCTTCATTCTCTAAATTTGCCAAAGTTGATGGTAAAAAGAAAAAGAAATTGTAGATATTCTATATCCTTTTACTCTTAGTCTCTTGGGAGAATGAGAGACTGAGACCCTCTTTATTTCACTTTGCAAGATTGTTTTTAACATCCTAGATAGGAGAATGTTTGTTCTAGTAAAAAAAAAAAAAAAAAAAAAAAACAATAAACCTCAGGGCACAAAAATTCAGTATCTCTCTTAGTAACCCTAGTTTATTCTGCATCTGGAAATTCTTGTATCTGACTTGATTTCTTTCTCCATCAGTTTGTTTTTCTTAACTCAATTTTTATTGAATATAATATAGTAAAATACATAAACTTAAGTGCATAACTAATTTTTTTTTATAAATATATATACACATGTGACCACCACCCAGGATCTTGGAAGCCTCTCTCTTTGACCCTCTCAGTCAACACCGAACTCTCAAGGGTAATTGTCACCCTAACTTCCATCAACATAGATTGTTATTGCCTGTCTTTGAATTATTTGAAAATGAAATCACCCAGTACTGTTTTGTATCTGGCTTCTTTTTTTTTTTTTTTTTTTTTTTTTTTTTTTTTTTTATTTCTTTTTTTTTTTTTTTTTATTATACTCTAAGTTTTAGGGTACATGTGCACATTGTGCAGGTTAGTTACATATGTATACATGTGCCATGCTGGTGCGCTGCACCCACTAATGTGTCATCTAGCATTAGGTATATCTCCCAATGCTATCCCTCCCCCCTCCCCCGACCCCACCACAGTCCCCAGAGTGTGATATTCCCCTTCCTGTGTCCATGTGATCTCATTGTTCAATTCCCACCTATGAGTGAGAATATGCGGTGTTTGGTTTTTTGTTCTTGCGATAGTTTACTGAGAATGATGGTTTCCAATTTCATCCATGTCCCTACAAAGGATATGAACTCATCATTTTTTATGGCTGCATAGTATTCCATGGTGTATATGTGCCACATTTTCTTAATCCAGTCTATCATTGTTGGACATTTGGGTTGGTTCCAAGTCTTTGCTATTGTGAATAGTGCCGCAATAAACATACGTGTGCATGTGTCTTTATAGCAGCATGATTTATACTCATTTGGGTATATACCCAGTAATGGGATGGCTGGGTCAAATGGTATTTCTAGTTCTAGGTCCCTGAGGAATCGCCACACTGACTTCCACAATGGTTGAACTAGTTTACAGTCCCACCAACAGTGTAAAAGTGTTCCTATTTCTCCGCATCCTCTCCAGCACCTGTTGTTTCCTGACTTTTTAATGATTGCCATTCTAACTGGTGTGAGATGATATCTCATAGTGGTTTTGATTTGCATTTCTCTGATGGCCAGTGATGATGAGCATTTCTTCATGTGTTTTTTGGCTGCATAAATGTCTTCTTTTGAGAAGTGTCTGTTCATGTCCTTCGCCCACTTTTTGATGGGGTTGTTTGTTTTTTTCTTGTAAATTTGTTTGAGTTCATTGTAGATTCTGGATATTAGCCCTTTGTCAGATGAGTAGGTTGCAAAAATTTTCTCCCATGTTGTAGGTTGCCTGTTCACTCTGATGGTAGTTTCTTTTGCTGTGCAGAAGCTCTTTAGTTTAATTAGATCCCATTTGTCAATTTTGTCTTTTGTTGCCATTGCTTTTGGTGTTTTGGACATGAAGTCCTTGCCCACGCCTATGTCCTGAATGGTAATGCCTAGGTTTTCTTCTAGGGTTTTTATGGTTTTAGGTTTAACGTTTAAATCTTTAATCCATCTTGAATTGATTTTTGTATAAGGTGTAAGGAAGGGATCCAGTTTCAGCTTTCTACATATGGCTAGCCAGTTTTCCCAGCACCATTTATTAAATAGGGAATCCTTTCCCCATTGCTTGTTTTTCTCAGGTTTGTCAAAGATCAGATAGTTGTAGATATGCGGCATTATTTCTGAGGGCTCTGTTCTGTTCCAGTGATCTATATCTCTGTTTTGGTACCAGTACCATGCTGTTTTGGTTACTGTAGCCTTGTAGTATAGTTTGAAGTCAGGTAGTGTGATGCCTCCAGCTTTGTTCTTTTGGCTTAGGATTGACTTGGCAATGCGGGCTCTTTTTTGGTTCCATATGAACTTTAAAGTAGTTTTTTCCAATTCTGTGAAGAAAGTCATTGGTAGCTTGATGGGGATGGCATTGAATCTGTAAATTACCTTGGGCAGTATGGCCATTTTCACGATATTGATTCTTCCTACCCATGAGCATGGAATGTTCTTCCATTTGTTTGTCTCCTCTTTTATTTCCTTGAGCAGTGGTTTGTAGTTCTCCTTGAAGAGGTCCTTCACATCCCTTGTAAGTTGGATTCCTAGGTATTTTATTCTCTTTGAAGCAATTGTGAATGGGAGTTCACCCATGATTTGGCTCTCTGTTTGTCTGTTGTTGGTGTATAAGAATGCTTGTGATTTTTGTACATTGATTTTGTATCCTGAGACTTTGCTGAAGTTGCTTATCAGCTTAAGGAGATTTTGGGCTGAGATGATGGGGTTTTCTAGATAAACAATCATGTCGTCTGCAAACAGGGACAATTTGACTTCCTCTTTTCCTAATTGAATACCCTTTATTTCCTTCTCCTGCCTGATTGCCCTGGCCAGAACTTCCAACACTATGTTGAATAGGAGGGGTGAGAGAGGGCATCCCTGTCTTGTGCCGGTTTTCAAAGGGAATGCTTCCAGTTTTTGCCCATTCAGTATGATATTGGCTGTGGGTTTGTCATAGATAGCTCTTATTATTTTGAGATACGTCCCATCAATACCTAATTTATTGAGAGTTTTTAGCATGAAGGGTTGTTGAATTTTGTCAAAGGCTTTTTCTGCATCTATTGAGATAATCATGTGGTTTTTGTCTTTGGCTCTGTTTATATGCTGGATTACATTTATTGATTTGCGTATATTGAACCAGCCTTGCATCCCAGGGATGAAGCCCACTTGATCATGGTGGATAAGCTTTTTGATGTGCTGCTGGATTCGGTTTGCCAGTATTTTATTGAGGATTTTTGCATCAATGTTCATCAAGGATATTGGTCTAAAATTCTCTTTTTTGGTTGTGTCTCTGCCCGGCTTTGGTATCAGAATGATGCTGGCCTCATAAAATGAGTTAGGGAGGATTCCCTCTTTTTCTATTGATTGGAATAGTTTCAGAAGGAATGGTACCAGTTCCTCCTTGTACCTCTGGTAGAATTCGGCTGTGAATCCATCTGGTCCTGGACTCTTTTTGGTTGGTAAACTATTGATTATTGCCACAATTTCAGAGCCTGTTATTGGTCGATTCAGAGATTCAACTTCTTCCTGGTTTAGTCTTGGGAGAGTGTATGTGTCGAGGAATGTATCCATTTCTTCTAGATTTTCTAGTTTATTTGCGTAGAGGTGTTTGTAGTATTCTCTGATGGTAGTTTGTATTTCTGTGGGATCGGTGGTGATATCCCCTTTATCATTTTTTATTGTGTCTATTTGATTCTTCTCTCTTTTTTTTTTTATTAGTCTTGCTAGCGGTCTATCAATTTTGTTGATCCTTTCAAAAAACCAGCTCCTGGATTCATTGATTTTTTGAAGGGTTTTTTGTGTCTCTATTTCCTTCAGTTCTGCTCTGATTTTAGTTATTTCTTGCCTTCTGCTAGCTTTTGAATGTGTTTGCTCTTGCTTTTCTAGTTCTTTTAATTGTGATGTTAGGGTGTCAATTTTGGATCTTTCCTGCTTTCTCTTGTAGGCATTTAGTGCTATAAATTTCCCTCTACACACTGCTTTGAATGCGTCCCAGAGATTCTGGTATGTGGTGTCTTTGTTCTCGTTGGTTTCAAAGAACATCTTTATTTCTGCCTTCATTTCGTTATGTACCCAGTAGTCATTCAGGAGCAGGTTGTTCAGTTTCCATGTAGTTGAGCGGCTTTGAGTGAGATTCTTAATCCTGAGTTCTAGTTTGATTGCACTGTGGTCTGAGAGATAGTTTGTTATAATTTCTGTTCTTTTACATTTGCTGAGGAGAGCTTTACTTCCAACTATGTGGTCAATTTTGGAATAGGTGTGGTGTGGTGCTGAAAAAAATGTATATTCTGTTGATTTGGGGTGGAGAGTTCTGTAGATGTCTATTAGGTCTGCTTGGTGCAGAGCTGAGTTCAATTCCTGGGTATCCTTGTTGACTTTCTGTCTCGTTGATCTGTCTAATGTTGACAGTGGGGTGTTAAAGTCTCCCATTATTAATGTGTGGGAGTCTAAGTCTCTTTGTAGGTCACTGAGGACTTGCTTTATGAATCTGGGTGCTCCTGTATTGGGTGCATAAATATTTAGGATAGTTAGCTCCTCTTGTTGAATTGATCCCTTTACCATTATGTAATGGCCTTCTTTGTCTCTTTTGATCTTTGTTGGTTTAAAGTCTGTTTTATCAGAGACTAGGATTGCAACCCCTGCCTTTTTTTGTTTTCCATTGGCTTGGTAGATCTTCCTCCATCCTTTTATTTTGAGCCTATGTGTGTCTCTGCACGTGAGATGGGTTTCCTGAATACAGCACACTGATGGGTCTTGACTCTTTATCCAACTTGCCAGTCTGTGTCTTTTAATTGCAGAATTTAGTCCATTTATATTTAAAGTTAATATTGTTATGTGTGAATTTGATCCTGTCATTATGATGTTAGCTGGTGATTTTGCTCATTAGTTGATGCAGTTTCTTCCTAGTCTCGATGGTCTTTACATTTTGGCATGATTTTGCAGCGGCTGGTACCGGTTGTTCCTTTCCATGTTTAGCGCTTCCTTCAGGAGCTCTTTTAGGGCAGGCCTGGTGGTGACAAAATCTCTCAACATTTGCTTGTCTATAAAGTATTTTATTTCTCCTTCACTTATGAAGCTTAGTTTGGCTGGATATGAAATTCTGGGTTGAAAATTCTTTTCTTTAAGAATGTTGAATATTGGCCCCCACTCTCTTCTGGCTTGTAGGGTTTCTGCCGAGAGATCCGCTGTTAGTCTGATGGGCTTTCCTTTGAGGGTAACCCGACCTTTCTCTCTGGCTGCCCTTAACATTTTTTCCTTCATTTCAACTTTGGTGAATCTGACAATTATGTGTCTTGGAGTTGCTCTTCTCGAGGAGTATCTTTGTGGCGTTCTCTGTATTTCCTGAATCTGAACGTTGGCCTGCCTTGCTAGATTGGGGAAGTTCTCCTGGATAATATCCTGCAGAGTGTTTTCCAACTTGGTTCCATTCTCCACATCACTTTCAGGTACACCAATCAGACGTAGATTTGGTCTTTTCACATAGTCCCATATTTCTTGGAGGCTTTGCTCATTTCTTTTTATTCTTTTTTCTCTAAACTTCCCTTCTCGCTTCATTTCATTCATTTCATCTTCCATTGCTGATACCCTTTCTTCCAGTTGATCGCATCGGCTCCTGAGGCTTCTGCATTCTTCACGTAGTTCTCGAGCCTTGGTTTTCAGCTCCATCAGCTCCTTTAAGCACTTCTCTGTATTGGTTATTCTAGTTATACATTCTTCTAAATTTTTTTCAAAGTTTTCAACTTCTTTGCCTTTGGTTTGAATGTCCTCCCGTAGCTCAGAGTAATTTGATCGTCTGAAGCCTTCTTCTCTCAGCTCGTCAAAATCATTCTCCATCCAGCTTTGTTCTGTTGCTGGTGAGGAACTGCGTTCCTTTGGAGGAGGAGAGGCGCTCTGCGTTTTAGAGTTTCCAGTTTTTCTGTTCTGTTTTTTCCCCATCTTTGTGGTTTTATCTACTTTTGGTCTTTGATGATGGTGATGTACAGATGGGTTTTCGGTGTAGATGTCCTTTCTGGTTGTTAGTTTTCCTTCTAACAGACAGGACCCTCAGCTGCAGGTCTGTTGGAATACCCTGCCGTGTGAGGTGTCAGTGTGCCCCTGCTGGGGGGTGCCTCCCAGTTAGGCTGCTCGGGGGTCAGGAGTCAGGGACCCACTTGAGGAGGCAGTCTGCCCGTTCTCAGATCTCCAGCTGCGTGCTGGGAGAACCACTGCTCTCTTCAAAGCTGTCAGACAGGGACACTTAAGTCTGCAGAGGTTACTGCTGTCTTTTTGTTTGTCTGTGCCCTGCCCCCAGAGGTGGAGCCTACAGAGGCAGGCAGGCCTCCTTGAGCTGTGGTGGGCTCCACCCAGTTCGAGCTTCCCGGCTGCTTTGTTTACCTAAGCAAGCCTGGGCAATGGCGGGCGCCCCTCCCCCAGCCTCGTTGCCGCCTTGCAGTTTGATCTCAGACTGCTGTGCTAGCAATCAGCGAGATTCCGTGGGCGTAGGACCCTCCGAGCCAGGTGTGGGATATAGTCTCGTGGTGCGCCGTTTCTTAAGCCGGTCTGAAAAGCGCAATATTCGGGTGGGAGTGACCCGATTTTCCAGGTGCGTCCGTCACCCCTTTCTTTGACTCGGAAAGGGAACTCCCTGACCCCTTGCGCTTCCCAGGTGAGGCAATGCCTCGCCCTGCTTCGGCTCGCGCACGGTGCGCACACACACTGGCCTGCGCCCACTGTCTGGCACTCCCTAGTGAGATGAACCCGGTACCTCAGATGGAAATGCAGAAATCACCGTCTTCTGCGTCGCTCACGCTGGGAGCTGTAGACCGGAGCTGTTCCTATTCGGCCATTTTGGCTCCTCCCCGTATCTGGCTTCTTTCATACAGCGTTTTATCTGTGAACTTCATCTACATTGTTAGGTGTAGTAGTAGTTCATTTTTCACAGTTATATAGTATTCTATTGTATGAATATGGCTTATAGGTATCCATTCTATTGTTGATGGATATTTGGATTATTTTCATGTTGGGGTGATTATAAATAAAGTTACTATGACATTGGTTGTCATGCCTTTGGGTGAATATATGTCCTCATTTCTGTTAGGTGGGAGCAGGTCATAAGGTGTGAAATATTCTACTTTAGTAGATACTACTAAAGATTTTTCCAAAACGACAGTAATAATTCACACTCTCTCCAGTAGTAGTTGACTGTTATAGTCATTGCTCATTCTCAGCAACAGTTGGCATTATCAGTTTTAAATTTTTTAGCCATTCTATTGGGTGTGGGAAGGTATCTCATTGTAGTTTTAATTTGCATTCCCTGAAGGCTAATGATGTTAAACACCTTTTCAGGAGGTGTTTTATTGGCACTTCTTTTATAAAGTGCCTGTTCCAAGTCTTTGCCCAGTTTTTTCTTATTGATTTAAAGCAGTTATTTTGGGTAAGTCCTTTGTCAGGTATATGTATTTTATATATCTTCTCCCACCTTGTAACTTGCCTTTTAACTGTCTTAATGGTGGCTTCTAATGAAGACAAGTTTTTAATTTTAATGAAGTCAAATTTATTTTTTCTTTTATGTTCTATTTAAGAAATCTTTGGCCAGGCACGGTGGCTCATGCCTGCAATCCCAGCACTTTGGGAGGTTGAGGTAGGCGGATCACCAGAGGTCAGGATTTTGAGACCAGCCTGGCCAACATGGTGAAACCCTGTCTCTACTAAAAATACAAAAAAATTAGCTGGGCGTGGTGGCGGGCGCCTGTAGTCCCAGCTACTCGGGAGGCTGAGGCAGGAGAATCACTTGAACCCGGGAGGCAGAGGTTGCAGTGAGCCGAGATTGTGCCACTGCACTCCAGCCTGGGCAACAGAGTGAGACTCTGTCTCAAAAAAAAAAAAACTTTGCCTACCCCAAGGTCTTGAAGATACTGTCCTATATTTTCTGTGGAAGCTTTATTGTTTTACTTTTCACATTTATGTCTGGGATCTCTCTGGAACAGAATTTTTTACATGGTATTGGGGGTGAGGAATAAAGTTCCACTTCCCCTCAGTGCCATGTATTGAAAGGACTGCCCTTTCCACTCTTCTCTATGGACACTTTTGTCATAAGTCAGATGACTGTCATCTGAGTGCCTGTTTCTGGACAATTTATTCTGTTTTTATTCCAAGATTTCTGACAATTTGATCAGTTTTACTTTATAAGAAAGTGATGATGTTCAATCCTCTAACTTTGATCTTCAGAACTGTCCTTGCTATTCTTTTTTTTTTCATTTCTATTATAAATTTCAGAATCAGCTTGCCAATTTCTATACACATACACAAACCCCTTAGGGTTTTTTTGGGGGAAGGTGGGGATTACTTTAATTCTCTAGAGCAATTTTAGGAGAATTAACATCTTTCTCTCTCAGTGTAAGCTGATTTTTTCATATTCTACCTTTAGTGGATGTGAAGGCCCCGCTTGCCCCATTTGGGCTGAATGAAGTCTCGGGCTCCAGTGTGAGACACAGATTCCCACTGTTATTTGAGTTCCAAATGGAAGTTGGGTTGCGCATCTTTAGCTACTCCTCTGGATCTTTTCTGCACCATCTCTGTCCTGCTTTGTGACTTAGGAGGGTGACTGGTTTGGGCTCATGCAATGGGCTCCTTTTCCTCTGGCTTCCAGTTATGTTACACCCGTGGGGAAGGAACACAGGCAGGCGATCAGAAGGAGAGAAGAGCGTGAGGTCCGGGTATTTATTTCCTGGCTTCTTCCCTGCCAGATCATTTTGGGTTGGCTGTGTCCCTACCAATGGCTGTGACAATTCATACCTACCAGGCAATCTTTTCCTTCTAGCCTTCTCTCTCTGGCTCCCCTTCAGCTTAAGGGTAGTAATGGCTCCCCAGTCCCTAATGTGGGTACCACATTAACCCTTGTTATTTCCCAACACCTTTCCAAACCTTTGTTAAGCACTCTTCAAATCATGCAATTTGAGCAGGTGGTCTGTTTCCTTCCAGGACCCCGATTACTACAGAAGTGGGGATTTCCTAGGCAATTGTTAAAAGTATTTTGAGAATGAGGACCAGTTACACCAATGGTGATAACCTTGCTGAGTCTGCTCACAAAATATGCCTCTGGCTAAACCTGCCTGAGTATAGCATAGAGGCTTTAGCTTTCTCTTTCTGGTATCATGTGAAGTTATCAAGGGACTCTTTATGATTTAAAAAGTAAGATTAGTAGCCTTGAAGTGTGCCCTTAAGTGTCCATAAGCATTTTAGCCATGAGTTATTTTTCACTTTTTGCCTTACTAAGTTGATAATGGATGCTTGTAATGTTTGTGCTTGCATCTGAGAAGCATCCACAGTACTGCCTGAGGATGTCAGGAGGAGAGGTGAGAGTGTCAAACAGGACCAGACTTTAAAGTAGTAATAAAATTGCTGTTATTTGAAAAATTAGACTCAAAGCACTTCTAGGGATTGCAGCCTCAAGCTACAGTGAACAAGAGAGAGTTATCCTAATTCTTAAATGGAGTCTTACATTGAAGTTGTTAAACTCCTCTTTTGACAGTTGGGTTATTTAGTTGTCTGCTTTAGCAATGAATTTTTGGAATGACATCTGTAGTGCTGGTGAGGACTGCTGAATTTCTTGCACTGAAATAGAAATCAGGATGTCATTTGCTGACAACGGTAATTAACCCGAATCACAAATCAGATTGTGCTGGCAAATATGACGGTGTAAGAACTGTTGGAAGTTCAAAATGAAAAAGTCAATAGCAAATAAAACAGGATATCACATATTTTTTAATGAAGCTTTACCTTCTTGAAAGTAAGCCTAAGTGGAGTTTCCTTTTTAATTGGACAAGGCCACTTAGGTGTTCGTTTCTGTGCATGCTGAGCTGAGTCATGGCTTTTGTTTTTGGTATCACTTGGTGCAGCTACTGATTTGCTCTCCACAGTTGCCCCTTTGGGTTACTCTCCAGGTACATCCCTGTGGCATCTCAACCCCCCAGGCCATGTGCCCCAGAGATCGCATCATCTCTTATACTGGAAGTGGCAAAATGGTGGCCATTAGGCATGTTTGTTTGTCCCACACATTGTTTTTATAAATAGTTTAAAACTGGGAGACACAAATTAAAGAAAAAACAGTTTCTGATTTTTCTTGGAAAATAGGATGATCTGAATACTGTGGGGCCTCCTCACCGCATGGTGATGACGGGCTGTGATGGGGGGTGCGGGTGTGTGCTCAGCAGGGAGCCATGGTGTCCTCTGGCCAGCCTTACTCAGCTGTGGGACCCACCTGACCTATGAGGCATGTGTTGATGTGATAAATACATCAGGGGTGGTTTTGGGTACCACAGGTGAGGAAGAGAAATAATTGATTCTATTATTTCTGTCTGTGTATCATTGGTATAAGAAACTGCAGTCTCCAAGAGGACAGAGACCTCGTCTATCTGTCTTGGTGTACCCCAAATTCATAAATGTTAATTGAACTGAAAAGAACCTCAACTTAGGCAGGTAAATCTGGTGATGGTATGCAGGGGGCTTAAAGGAGGGTACTGAACATTTGAAAAAGGCTGTAACCATAAGGATGGCTGAGAACACAGACTAAGACAGTGGCAGAGGGAAGAGAGAAAGAGGAAACCCTGAGACAATTCGAATAAATGTTCATTAGATTTAGAGACCAGTGGGATGTGAAGGAGAAAAGGAAAGGATGAGCTTGAGGCCTCAAGGGTTAGTGGTGCCGTTAGTCCAATTAGGAGGATGGTTGGTGAAAGCCACAGGATCCCTTCTGCTTCCCTATTTCCAGTCTTTTGACATGAGGAATCTTGGGCTTAATCATATTGGTTTAGCTAATGGTAATAATTAGCTGAATTGTCCCCTTATGTTTTTAATCCCAGAGCTAAGACCATCAAGAATACAGTCTCTGTGAACCTAGAACTGACAGCAGAAGAATGGAAGAAGAAATATGAAAAAGAGAAAGAGAAAAACAAGACTTTGAAGAATGTTATCCAGCATCTGGAGATGGAGCTAAACAGGTGGAGGAATGGTAAGGAAAAGTAAGGAGGAAGAGTGAGGCATGAGTGTGTGCTTTTTTTATTTTTATTTTTTTTGAGACAGAGTCTCTCTCTGTCACTCAGGCTGGAGTGCAGTGGCGTGATCTTGGCTCACCGCAACCTCTGCCTCCAGGGTTCAAGCCATTCTCCTGGCTCAGCCTCCCGAGTAGCTGGGATTACAGGCGTGCACCACCACACCTGGCTAATTTTTGTAATTTTTTTTTTTTTTTTTAGTAGAGATGAGGTTTTACCATGTTGGCCAGGCTGGTCTTGAACTCCTGACCTCAAGTGATCCACCCACCTTGGCCTCCCAAAGTGCTGGGATTATAAACGTGAGCCACCGTGCCTGGCCGTGTGTGTGCTTTCTTTTTCTTGTGACTGTTGGCATCCTGGGAGACACTTGGGAAAGTTGGGGCAATGGTGCAGCTTGATTCCTCCTGGCAACAACCTGTATGAACAAGCAGATGTTTTCTTAGTCCCTAACACAGGCACCATCCCCATCCCATCACTTGGCTAGCATGCATTGTTAGTGTGGACCAGTGATTATCTGCAAGGCTGCCTTAATCTGCTTCCAATGAGATGCACTCTATCTAATATTGTAATAACTTGCTGGTACCCCTATTTGTAGGTTAGAGGAAAGTGCCTGAGACTTAGTGGCTCAGACTGCTTTTGACTTAAATGAAAAATGTCATTCTCTCCTATGTGAGTTTTATTACTGGTTTGGGGTTAAAAGTCTACCTCTGGCAAATACTTGCATTTTTTGGCTGAACTCATCTTCATGCCAGAAATATAGGGCTCTCAAAGGAGCCCTGTGCTAAAATGGAGTCTTAAAGGCTTGGTTCGTGACTCGTTTTCCTTCTTCCCCAAAACATTTTCTTTGGTTTGTTCTACTGGGAGAAAATATCTCAGAGAGCTGACATGCAGTGGGTGGGTGGGTTGTGGGTGAGGTGTTAAGAGGGGTTTCCAGATCTAAGTGCAGACAGATTATTTTAGTGATTTTAGCATTGTGACGTAGGTTAGAAGGTAGAAGGCTTTTTTTTTTTTTCTTTTTAACTAAAATAAGGCAGGTTGGTGTGTGTGTAGGGGAATGGCGGATAGTTGGAAGTTGTTCTTCAGGTCCTCTGCTGCTGTGTTCAGTATTTTAGGTGCTGCAGCTGTACCTCAGCTTTGGGTAAGGGTAGGAGCCCGGGGGCTGTTGTGCAGGATTGGGAGGTAATGCTGACTGTAACTGCAGCAGATTGTCTTGTGATTACACGTTTGCCACTGCTTTTTGCTAGTAAGGGTGGGGTGTCAATGAGCTATTGTTTAATAGAAAAACAATTACGTGGCAAACGAGAATTCAAGACAGGTTTCAAAAATGACCTAGTAGTCTAAATAACATGATTCTTTTATTTTTGAAAGATTTTCTAGCAGCACACGTGTTTGGAAAGCTACTAGAATAATTGAATAATTCAGCACCTGAGGCTGGTGGATGATTCTTTGCAATTTGGCAGGAATGGGAGAGTCGGGAGCAGTAGTTGGCAAGGTGGGGAGTAGCCATATGAAGTTTTATTTCGGGAATCCTCCAGGTCAGTTCTCTGTTGGGTGACCAGGACATTCAGTAAAGCCTTTTGGTAAAGGATTGGGGGTGCTGGCTTTAGAAACATTACAGGGTGGGCAATGAACCTTTTTTCCCCCATCATTTTGCATCTCTTGCCAAACTTTAACCTTGCAGTTCTCCATCCCTCATCAAATGCCATCCTCTGGGATCTGCCCATTGCCTTGTTTGCCTGACTCACCATCATGCTTAGCATCTTTTGGGCACTCAGTCCTGTTTTTGGCCTCTTTACTTGGACATCATTTTAACTGTCACTCTTCGAACACCTTGCGAATCTCCTTAGAAATGTACTGTTTTCTCCCAGCTCTTTGGGTGGCCGAGGTGGGCAGATCACCTGAGGTCGGGAGTTCGAGACCCGCCTGGCCAACATGGAGAAACCCTGTCTCTACTAAAAATACAAAATTAGCTAGGTGTGGTGGCGCATGCCTGTAATCCCAGCTACTCAGTAGGCTGAGGCAGGAGAATCGCTTGAACCCTGGAGGCGGAGGTTGCAGTGAGCCGAGAACCCACCATTGTACTCCAGCCTGGGCAAAAAGAGCAAAACTCCATCTCAAAAAAAAAAAAAAGAGAAAGAAATGTGCTGTTTTCTGTGCCCTCTTGGGTGAGATCCTACATGAGCCTTTAAGTTACATAATTTGGGGAAAATAATGTATGATGATATACTCTGGCACAGAGTAGACCTCCAATAAATGTATGGGAAGCAAACATATGCTTAATGCAGGTGCTGGAGATTAAAGGGTGGGCAGTCAGATGTGGTCTCTTCCCTCAGGACGGTCTGAGCGGGGAGGAAGGTAAATGCCAGTCCTCACCAATAAATGTATGATGGTAGTCCACGCTGCATACCAAGAAGTGAAAGCACAGGTGCCAAGAGTTATACAACAGGGGGCCCTGACCTTGACTGAGAAGCCAGTGAAGGGTTCCTTGAATATGCAATGTAGAGATTAGTATCTGTGAGAAGCGCAGTTAGCCAGGCAAAATAGGGGGCATGAGGTGAGGTGGGGGCTCCGAGAATGGAGGACATAGGCCAGCAGGGAGCACTGGCCTGAGATGGGCTCGAGGGATAGGCGGGGCTCTCCTGTCTTCAGGATTTTGGTCAAGGGTGTTAAGCTGCAAGTCATACCTTCGCATTTTTGAAGATCCATTGGCTGTATTGGAGAGTGGACTGCAGGTCGGAGAGGAGGGCTGGGAGCTGGGGTGGTCTTCCAGGGATGAGATGACGGTATTGAAGTGACAGGGTAGTAGGAAGGGAGAGAAATGGATGAACCTGAGAGATATTTAGGAGGAGAAATTAGCCGGGTGTGGTGAGGGGTTGGCTATGGGAGAGGGAGGTTTCAATGACAACTGTGTTTTCTGGCTTGCCGAGTTGGATGGAGGGTGAGACCATTCTCTAAGACTGGGGATGCTGGAGGAGAACCAGGGGTGAGGGAGGAGGGAGTTTAGGGTCCCCGTGGAACATCCAGGGGAACATTATTCAGATAAGAAGTTAGGTCTGAGGGTCTGGAGCTCAGAGGATCTGCTTGAGTTGGAGTCATCAGTCTTTTGGTAGTAATTGAAGGCATAGGTAGGTGTGAGGGCCCTTTGGACTACAGAGAAAGAAGAGAAGACAGAGAGAGTCTGAGAGGCCCCCAGCAACCCCATTGCCACGTCACCACTGGTTGTGATGGGAGAAGGGAATTGGAGGGATTCCGCAGAACTCTCCTTTCCTCCCCAGCTAACATTTGTATTTAAAGGTGATTTTTCTAGGGGCAAAGTTCTTAAAGGTAGAGAACTGACTTTAGTGATGTAAGTTTCAGGCGAGAAGGAGAGTAGTGAGGGGCAGTGAGGAGGTGGGGAGAGGTCCTTTGTCCCATGGAGGGGGCAGAGCTACCTCAAACAGTAACTCTGCGTCTCATGCTATGTGCCAGTGGACGTTACAGGGACAACAGACCAGGCCAGGCTTTTTGTTACATTCTGAGGCTGGGCATTTAATCCTCAAGTAGCTCTTGTGACCATGAATGACAGGTCTGAAAACGTCCCCAAGTGGATCAGTCTCTGGTAAAGCTGCGATCTGAACTGAGTGGGCCTGACTCTAAAGTTCATTCTCTTTCTACTGTCTGCACAGCCTGCTCATCAAGTTAGCAGAATGATTTGTGGGCAGGGCCAGTTAGATGAGTGTAATAAATATCACGCCAAAAAAAGGGGCACTGGAAGCCCTTCCATGGTCTCCCCACGTGTCAGTCCTAATTCTTCAGAGCAGAAGATAATGAGGGCATAGCTGGTGATAATGAGGGCATGGCTGGTGTGTGTAAACGTGAGAGCTGGGCTTTTGAGATGTGGACTGAAAAAGCAGAAGTGCCCTTCACTAAAACCAGAGTGGCAGGATATTGCCAACTTTCCTTTGAAACTTGACACACACATTGGTTCTAAACTTACAGAAGGTGGCTACTTAGCTCCCCTCAACATTTCCTGGGTATTGATATTTCCACATGGCAGTCTCCACGAGTTAAAGAGGCCTTGTCAATTGTGTGCAGTCTCCTGGGAAAAAGATTTCTTTCTTTGCATGGTATTTATAATTTAAGAGTTTGGCTGCTATACTTCAGCTGCTGGAGAGCAAGGAAGGGGTATGTGTAGCAAAGTGTGTGTGTGTGTGTGCGCGCGCGCACACACACACATGCTTGTGCTTTTTCCTACTTGCTGTTACATAGAATGAAGTAACAATACAAAGGAGTAGGAAATCAACTACAGATCAGGTGCAGGCAGATAATGGAGATAACTGAAAAGAGGTAAGTTTGATCCAGCTGGCAGTGTTGGGACTGTGCCACAGGACAGGGCATGCCCTGCCTTATGTCATTCAAAATTGGTGAAATACTGCACTATTACATGCCTAGAGGTTGCTCTCGCCCTCCCCCACACCTCCACCTGTACCAATTTTCAACCCTTTGTAGCTTGATGCATGCTATAGATTGAATGTTTTGTGCCCATCCAAATTCATATGTTGAAATCTTAACCCCTAAGGTGGTGATAGTAGGAGGTGGGGCCTTTGGGAGGTGATTGGGTTCTGAGGATGGACTCTCATGAATGGCATTAGTGTCCTGTGAGTTCTGAGAGAGCTTCCTTCCCTCTGGTCTCCACTATGTAAGACTATAATGAGATGCCATCTGCAAACCCCGAAGAGGGCCCTTACCAAGTGCCAAGATCATGTTGGCACTCTGATCTTGGACTTCTAGCCTCCAGAACTGTAAGTAATAAATTCTTTATAAGCCACCCAGTCTATGGTACTTTCTTATAGCAGCTCCAGGTAAGACAGGGGCCACTTCAGAATGCAGGCCTAGCAGTTTTCTCCTCTGGGCACTGTTGAACCTTGATTCTCAGAAGGCGGCTTGTGGCTCATATCACATATACTACACTAAGCTTTAATTCCTTTCTGACATTGCCATGGAGGCAGGATAACTCCGGGCATGTGCATGTGGCTAAGGAGAGCCACCCACTGGCCTGGTTCCGTTCCCCAGGGTGCTAGTTAGGATCCTTGGATTGCAAACGACAGGAATTGACACTGCCTGGCTAAAGCAAAAAGAGAATGTGTTAGAAGGATACGAATGATTCGCAGACTCCAAAGCAGAGGCAACAGGCTCCGACAAGTGTAGGCTGGGGCTGCTTCAGGGATACAGGCAGCAGAGACAGGCAGGTCTCTTAAGTGGCCACACCTGGAATTAATGCTTTTTCCCTTCTGTATGTGATTATGTTGGAGAAGCAGAGGCCCAGGATAGAAGTGGGAATACTGTGCTTGCTGGTGTGCCTTGGCTGGGGAAGGGCAGGGCACTTTGATACATTGTCTGATGAAGACTGCATGCAGTTTAGGGGGCTAATTCCTTAAAAGGAAGTTGAGGTGCTATTTTCTAAGAATGGGTGTCGAGTGGCTGAAAAGCAACAAATGTTCACCACAATCTACTAGTGACATCTTGTGGGCCGATATCGATGGCTGGTCTTTCTTCGAATCTGGAGGCTCTGTTGGCTCTTTAGCCTCACGGAGATTTGTTCAGCCTGCTTGCTTAAGGAACAGATAGGATGGAGTGGGGCAGTTGCCAGAAAATGGAATTTTTTTTAAAGCTCTATTGCTTTGTTGCTCATATGTGCGGGAGAGACTCGAACAATCCTATATATGGAGATAGAGTTAAATAGTTGGATTCAGAGTGAATTACAGCTCCAGCTCATGCTAACCTCCTCCCAATCCATCAGGAAAACTCTTGACAGGAGGATGGGGAGGGAGGGGTGAAGTCTGGATGCATGGCTTCCTGTTGCTGCCAGGTCAGTCTTCACACATGCTGTCTTCTGATACTTTGAATTTTGCACTTGAAAAATAATTTTTTACAGTGATTTAAGTCAGAAAAAGGAGGACCTGAAAATCCAGGTGTCAGAACAAGGAAATGACCTGACAAACTGGTGTATCTGCAGATTTTCTTCTCTTGAATAATTGCCTATAAGATTAAAAAACAGTGGATATAGATTTACCTTATCTGCTGAAGTCATGCAAAGAAATGATTTCATCACAGGCTGAGAAAGTGTGGAAAAATCGGCAGTCTCTAACGCAGATTTGTTCATCCAGTTCAAAACCTGTGAGGCCAGCAGACATGGTTCAGTAACTAGCTAAATCTGTAGCCTCTAGTCTGATTTGGGGCTTTGTGGAACTTTGGGACCACCACAATTGGAACACAATTTGCTCTTTTAGCATTAAATCTTCGAAGATGCTGGCTCCCTTCTTAGATCCATGATTATAATGGACTCTCAGAAATTAGCATTTCATTGGAGCGATCTAATTTACTAGGCCCTCTGCTTGCTTTTGAGAACACAACCAAACTCTGTAATAGAAATACCGTCTGTCTACTAAGAGAATGTTGTGGCCTGTTCAGGTGGTCATGAATGTAAGGAGGATGCAGAGTCCCAGGTGACCAGTTTATTAGAAAATCGCTCTAGAAGGGATTAGAGGATGTTTTAAGCTGCTTACAGTGTTTTTAGGAATGAGGGTGAAAGATGCTATTTGCATGCAAAATAATCTCATAAAAGAATGATTTTTTTTTTAACATCACATTTATATAATGACATCTTGTAGCCAGCTGCTCTCACCCATCTGGCAACTTAAAGATTTCCTTTTAGTTTCTTTGATACAGAAATTACCTACCATTAGGTCTGCCACTGGGCCTATTTAATTGGAATTAAAAGAAAGCACCTCGTTTGCCAGATCTGCTGTGGTTCCTGGCGGAAGCTGTGAGTAACCAGCAAATCTCTGCTCTGGAGTTACTGAGAGAATGCAATTACCTTTCTGTGTTCTCCTGAGGCTTTAGGAACTCAACTTATGAAAAGGATAACTAGCTTGTTGCTATTTCATGTGTGAAGTTTTAATGAATTACTGGCAGTCTAATGGTTTTCTTTCTTTAAAAAAAAACCCAAAAACCTATTTTAGAAATTTTAATAGCCCTAATGAGAATTTTTGATTAGTGTGTCATTCTCATCTGTTGCCGTTGATGGATTTCTATTTTTTGTAGAAATGTTATTTACGCCCTCTGGGAGTTTTTATTTTATAATTAGAATGCTCTGTAAGCCTTATAGGTATGCTTCAGTGAATGCTCCTATGTAAACACAAATCTTTTTAGTCCTTAAAGGTAATTACATCTGACGATAGTAAATGCCAGGATGCTTATTTAAAGAAGGGGAAGGTTTCCAGTGTGTGTGTGTGTGTGTGTGTGTGTGTGTGTGTGTGTATGTGTGTGGGGAGGCCTTTCAGATGCTTTACAATATTATGAGCTCTTTTCCTATAGACAGCAGGTATAAGCCTCCGGGGCTAAACTAAGAGAAATCTGCTTTTAATGCAAAGAGGGAGACTCAAAATAGATGCTAATCTTCCTTTGGTGGTCTTTTTCTCCTTCTCCCACCATCAGAGTTCAGGGCGTTATTTCTCTAGGGTCTGTTTGCAGCTGTCTTCCTTGTTAGAATCAGTTATTCCATAATCACCATGTGGGGGCTTCTCCAGAGAATTGGTCCACTGCAGTGCAGGGAATATTCTCCATTAACGTGGTGAGATTGCCATGGAGACAGATAACCTAGTGTCAGGTCTTGCCTAGTGTTGGGAATTTACAATCCCCAGACGTGTTTGTGAGCTGGACAGTGTAGTTACCAGGACGCTTCTGGAAGTCATTTTCTCGGTCCTTTGAAGAGTAGTGGTGTTGGAAAACCTGCCCTTGGTTCCTCTCTGGGCAGGAGCTGGGCTGCTTTAGTTCCTGCGTGTTGCGGCTTTGTTCTTCTCCGTTGAAATGGCTGCTGTAAAAAATAATCCTTACTGCCTGACCTTTAGAATATAAACTGAAAAGAGCTGGTTGTTTAGATGTAGCTTTGTAGGAGACATGTTAATGCTTTGATTGAGAGAATTGTTCAAGAGAAACCACAAAGTCTGCTGTAGGTTTCAAATACTGTTTTAATAATAATAAAAATAAACCTGAAATGGACTTGCATGGCTATACCATGTTTTATTTTTGGAACTGAGCTCCAGCCATAAAATTATCGTAAAGATCTCAGAAACACAAATCACAGAATAAGTAAAAATAATAATTTATCTGCCAAGCCTACAAAGTTGCAAATTTGTCAGGGAGAGGAGGGGATAAGAGGTGGACTTTGAACAATATTGCCTTTTGTGCTTTTTACATATACTATCTTCATTTATCTTTAGAACAACCCTGTGATAAAGGCATTGTTATTTCTTCTCCTTTACAGAAAGGAAACCAAGAGGGTAAGCAGGAGATGGGCTTGTGATTAATGAGACCTGTTAAAAGGTACAATGTGGCTTTAGCATCCTGCCATAGCACTGGAGATGAGAGAGTCCCTTGACTACTTTCACAGTGCCTTACAGCAGCATTGGCTAGCTTGTTGAATCTCTGCCATCTGGGACAACCCTTCTACTTGGTGACGCTATCATTCCTTAATGGGAGAAGAGGGCAGCTTTAGGGGAAGTCAGGCCTGTGACTTTGGTTAGAACAGGTCACTTGCTGCTAAGGTTATAGAAGTCTATCCCCGGCCCCTGCCCACTCAGCTGAATCAAAACACACACTGGGCAGCTCCTTAGCTTACCCTAGCCTCATGATACCATTGCCTCTTTGGCCATTTGAAACCAAAGAACACAGGGAATATATCTCTTCCAGATGTTTTTGTATCTTACCTCTTTACTTGGAGTGAGTTGGCCTGTGGATAATATGACCATGTTCTGGTTGGTGTCTGGTCTGGTACAGCTAAGAATTTCATCTTTGTCATGCGTAAGCTGAAAGATTAAATTCATACTGTACTGGATTGCCCTGTTCCCAAATTTCAGAAGCTAGAGCTCAAAAATTAGAGATACAGTCACAATCCAAGAAGAGGAAGGATATTTACCAAAGTGTTAGTGGTGAATTTCTCTGGGGAAGGAACAGAATTAGAAGGGAGGGGTGAAGGAGGACTTTCAAGTTTTAGTTGTATACTCCACATTGCTTGAGTTGTTTATGTTAAGAATGTATCCTGAATTATTGTGTGATTAGAAAATCTGTCTGTCTGTCTGTCTGTCTGTCTATCTATCTATCTATCTATCTATCTATCTATCTATCTATCTATGTCTATCTATCTCTAATATGTTTAAGAAAAAAAAAGAACATGGTACAGCTTTTATAGCCCATGGATTTAGCAGACTGTAGAGAATATAGATCCTTTAATTGGATGAAATCCAGTCTGCACACTAAGGTTGTTGATGGATATTTTAAGCCAGGAATTGGAACTGAATGAAATATTGATTTGGTTCAGGTTCTGTTCAAAGGCTACTCTGATATTCTGGTTTTGTTTAAGGTCAATAATTTTAGAAAAAACGCTTAAGTATAGCAGTCTTGTTGGAAAAGGAAAAAGGGTTGGCTCAATTTTGTATTCAGCAAGGTAATAGTTTATTCTATGTTTTGCTTCAAGTTGCTGCTTCAAACGGAACTGTGATACAAAAGTGAAAGCATTGGGTGTTAATTTTACTTAACACGGAGGCCCCATGTAGTATTTTGTGGTTATGCAGTGAGATAATGGAGTCATAAGCAGCAGAACTAAACTATCACAGTGTTTTGTTTATATTGAGATAAATGTGTACAGTGTTCAGGTGGGTTCCTTGAAGCATGATATATATTGTTAATGAAGCCACAGATTGAAATCTCAGTTACTCTATTATTTATTTTTATTTATTTATTTATTTATTGAGACAAAGTCTTGCTCTTGGCACCCAGGCTGGAGTGCAATGGCGCGATCTCGGCTCATTGCAACCTTCGCCTCTCGGGTTCAAGCGACTCTTGTTCCTCAGCCTCCCAAATAGCTGGGATTACAGGTGTGCACCACCACACCCAGCCAATTTTTGTACAAATACTAAGTTTTGTATTTTTAGTAGAGATGGTATTTCACCATGTTAGCCAGGCTGGTCTCGAATTCCTGGCCTCAAGTTATCTGCTCGTCTTGGCCTGAGCCACTGTGCCCTGCCTTCTATCATGTATTTTTGAAAAACTCTCTGACTCAAGGCAGTTTTCCTGGGCAATTTTTACAAAATGGATTTTGTGGGCTGGGAACTGGGGTGAGGCTTGGAATACTGCAGACACTCTTACTACTGACTGTAGCAAGATGATTGTGGTGTTGATGGTAAACATTGTGATGGAAAAGTATGTTGGGTTTGGTTTTGCTTTCCAGGAAGATATTTGGGAGACTCAGTGGGGCCAGTAGTTTTCTTAGAATCCTTTTTATGCACTTTATGTCTTTGATGTTCTTGTTGGAGATAGCCATTGGCCAGCTTGCAAGCTGTACCATTTCTATCAATTTGATTGACAAATTTGGCAATTCTTCCTTTGAAGGCCCCAACAAATGCTACTCTGCAAACTGAGAAGTTGTAGGTAGGATCTCTGCAAGATAGTCTAGATTGGCTGCTTTTCTTTCCTAAGACTACCTGATATCACAGTAGGTTATTCTATTTGAACTTTCCAGCAGAGCCAATTAATTCTGGCTTCCTGGAGGAGACAGTGGTATTGAAATGTGAGCTTTTGCAGCTCTAGTCTTGGATCCAGGGCTACCCTGTCTTCTGACCTCAGATTTGGAGATTCTTGAATTCAGAGGATCTGAGCCTTAGAGTGTTCTATCAAACAATGCCAGTGTGTTTCTTTATTTGGCTGTTTCTATTAATGAAACAGTGACATAATTAATTCATAATTAGGATGCCTTAGAGGTCTGTTTCCTTTTTAATCAATCACTAGAGAGAATATGACTCTAGTAAAGCCCCAGGATATTCCTCAACTAAAGCAAAATGAATGTAAAGAATTTAGGCATCTCTGCAAGTTGGAGTAGCTTGGAACCAGTTTACTTCAGGGATGCATCTTGAGAGGGGAGGTTTTACATAGTTCTCTTTTTTCTTAGACTAGTTTTGGCCAATTAACTAAGACCTTTCTTGTCAAATAGAAGGAACACAAACTCTACCCACACTACAGCCCTTTATTGTGTCTTCTGTGTATTTTTCACCAGGACTGATTATTTTTGGTACTCTTCCTGGAGGGTTGCATACTCAATTTCTTTAATCCCCAACT
Organism: Homo sapiens; assembly: GCF_000001405.40. NCBI lineage: Eukaryota > Metazoa > Chordata > Mammalia > Primates > Hominidae > Homo > Homo sapiens. The sequence goes on from NW_003571033.2 coordinate 45,327, forward strand.
CTGCTCGGCTATGTTTTGCAGGAGAAGCTGTGCCTGAGGATGAACAGATCAGTGCCAAGGACCAGAAGAACCTGGAGCCTTGTGATAACACCCCCATCATAGACAATATTGCTCCTGTTGTTGCTGGCATCTCTACAGAGGAGAAAGAGAAGTACGATGAGGAGATCTCCAGTCTCTACAGACAACTGGATGACAAGGTCTGTGGCCAGAGATTCATAGTTCTCATTCTGCTACAAAGATGAAAGATGGCAGGTCCCAGCTCCCTATGGGGCTGATGTAGGGCTACAGCCCGATCTTTGTTTCTGGTTTCCTAATACCTACCCTAGCACTTTGATGGTGCAGATTCAGGGAGTTTGATTCATGTGGAATAGAAATGTTAAAGGGAACTTGACTGAAAAAGCAGTGTGTTGGCCTAGATAGACAGGCGGGTGCTATTTAGAGTCTTGTCTTCTAGAAATTGGACTGGGCTGATTACTGCATGAAAGGTGGGGTGTGTGAGTGTCTATGATCTTTAAGTCTCCCTTTCTTCTCTGGGCCTATCCTTCACCTCTTGGAAACTCCAGCAGTAGCCTCAGCTAGGGGCAAGGGTTGTGACTCCCAGAATTCAAGCATGTACTTTAATCATATAACCATAAGGCCCTGGGATGAGAAATCGATAGCAGTGTGGTCTGATGGCTTCACCTAATTGGTGAAGCTCTTTTCACGGGTATATTCTTGAATGAAGTAGTTTGTACATGCTAATTGGGGATGTCCAATTTTATGACAAGCTTTTGGGACTCAAATAGTCATGTAAATGCACAAGTTGGCATAGAGGAAAAGAGGCCTTGGAGAACACTGGGAGAATCAATTAAAGGTTGGGTTAGGAATCCCAGAGGCATGAGAATTGAATTGATGTTTTATATGATCTTGGCATGTTGCCCTTGGAATATTCTAAATCCTTTCAGTTGATTTCATCAGGGTTGCTGATATTTTTAGCCTGATTTAATCTTTTCTATTGTGGTTCAGCTCAGAGTGCTTAGGGACACCTCTGGCTTGTATGAAGCAGCTTTGTTATGTTAACCTTGCCATTAATCTTACAGGCTTCTCTCTTTGAGGTAAAGCTCAGAGACTGGTATGACCTTTGCAAGCTGAATGTGACTGGTTGCCTTAAGGAAGCTAGTTCTGCTTGTTTGTGATTCCAAGAGCTTGCACTATAACCAAAGCTTTATTCTGGGGTCATCCTACTCTTCTGAAAACACATTTAATAAAATATTCGCACCCACGAGATGGGTTACTTGCCCTTTAGGCTCCACGCATACCGTTATCTTCCATTTCTATCTATGTATTTTATGCAAAACAAAGAGAAAAAGGAGATCAATAGTAAGTTAACAGTATATGCAATTTCTTGATTTCTCCAAGGAATTGCTATTGTTTAAACAGTAAAGAAGATTAGACCATATGCATTTTTTTTCCTCATTTTAGAACCAATGGGCTCATTTTTAGTAATCGCAGAGAATCCTGGGTGAGAGGGTGAGAAGCTGTTTCTGTGCTCAGTTCTCTATGAATAGACGCCTGCATGGCGGAATCGGGATCATTTACCTTGGCAGCACAGGGAACTTTCATTGATCCAAGAGAGAGACTTTAGAGTCTCAAATCAGACATACGAAATGTAGTGATTAGGACAGAGAGATGAAAATGCCATGTCCAAAGCATTCAGTTGGTAGCTGAAGAGCTGGCTTGAGAGTCTCCGTCTCCTGATGGTCAGCCTAGGCCATTTTGTTATGTCATTTTCCTACAGCATGTGCTTTGAAGATTCTGTAAGGCCCGCTGTTGGAGGCTAGTATTTGTGGTCCCTCACATGATGATGCTGAGAGACGTGGGAGAGGACTGAGCCTAGAAGCCTCAGCCTTAGGGGGCACCAGAGCTAATGGTTTGCCCTCAGTGACCCTTCCCAAAGACTGCCTGATTATGTCTTACCAACTGTCATTCTTAGGGGTCCTCCTCTGAAATGTTCTAGGAGGCACTTCCATGTTTCTGTTGATGTAGGTGGTTTGACGCTTGAAGAATACATGAGGTGGGATATGGCACCTTCTTAGTCTACTGAAAGGTAGAACAGGAGGTATTTAGGTTTGGGTGAGGCACTAGCCCAGGGTGGTTATGTGACTTACCCAAGTGTATATCACATATAGGTGGCAGAGCTAGGATGAAGTTACATATCTTCTGACTCCCACCCCAGTGCTCATCTCATTTTGCCCTCAGCCCTTTAAATGAGGACCTGGTCAACCTCAGTGAATCTATTTAGGGTGTGGAGGGAGAAAGACCACACGGTTTCCTCCCAGCTGTCCCTTCTGTTCCTCCGTGCTGCCCCGCCAGGGCTCCAAGCACAGGTACTCTCCCAAGGCTATGCTGTGTGATGGGAGAGCATGCACTGTGGACTCAGACCTGTAACAATGACACTGAGACCTGGGCAGACCTGTGACAATAATGCTGAGTCCTGGGCTGGCGCCTGGCCCTGCTGAAGGTGCTTTTTCTCATCTGTATCATGGGGCTTATATCTGTTAATTCAAAAGGCTGTGGTGAGGATTAAAAGTTTCTAGTACATTGCAGGTGCCCAGTAAATATTAGCTTCCTTCTTTCTCCTGGGCTGGGCTGGGCTCTGCTTACTTCCGTGTGTGGTGTGGAAGGGGTGGTGCCAAGGGGGCCACCAGCAGAGACACAATGTGAACAAGTTGGCGCTGGCACTCCTTGTCTCTTAGTCTCTGTCCCTCTACAGTACTGCTCTGCTCTTGGAGATCCTGACACGAACCAAGCTTAAGTAGAAATGAAAGTTGATTATTTTTATGCAGATTACCATTGCAATAAAAACATTTTTATACTTAAAGGTGAACAGTGACCTGTTGACAACTGAGGTTGACCAGTTTCTCATTTATAAGGGTGTGCATATTATTTTGTTTTATTTATTTATTTATTTATTTATTTATTTATTTATTTTTTGAGATGGAGTCTCGCTCTGTCACTCAGGCTGGAGTCCAGTGGTGCGACCTCAGTGCACTGCAACCTCTGCCTCCTGGGTTCAAGCAATTCTCCTGCCTCAGCCTCCTGAGTAGCTGGGACTACAGGCGCACACCACCACGCCTGGCTAATTTTTGTATTTTTAGTAGAGATGGGGCTTCACCATCTTGGCCAGGATGGTCTTGATTTCCTGACCTCGTGATCCACCTGCCTCGGCCTCCCAAAGTGCTGGGATTTCAGGCCTGAGCCACCACGCCTGGCCGCATGTTATTTTTTTTTTAATTTTTGAGATGGGGTCTTGTTCTGTTGCGCAGACTAGAGTGCAGTGGTGAAATCACAACTCACTGCAGCTTCAACCTTCCAGGCTCAAGCCATCCACCTGCCTCAGCCTCCTGAGTAGCTGGTACTACAGGCACATACCACCACACTCAGCTAATTTTTTTTTTTGTATGTTTTGTAGAGACGGAGATTTGCCATGTTGCTCAGGCTGGTCTCGGACTCCTGGGCTCAAGTGATCAAGCTGCCTTGGCCTCCCAAAGTGCTGGGATTATAGGCGTGAGCCACTGTAACTGGCCTTATGTTATTTCATGTATAAGAAAATTCAAGTATAAAATACTTTCTGAAAAGTGCTTTAAAATCTGTTATCCATGGACAAGATCTTTAGAACCGGCATCAGAGTGAGCGTGCTTATGCATGTTCTAAGAGATGCAGTTGAATGTGTAGATATAAGCACACCTTATTATTCTGGAGGTTTTGAAAGACTTTAAAAAAAATCACAGTAGAGCTCATTAATTCCTTAGATAAGTTGCCTTAATAAAGGGTAAATATAGTTTGGGAAATGTCTCTGATACAAGTGATCCACGTCTTCTGTAGTATCATCCTTGTTCTTCATCCTTCCCAGGTGGGGCCAGGGGCCCTTGGTTTTTCACTGTACCTTAAAAATCACTGCATCCCAGCTTGTCATCTGTTGGGAGGAAGCCTGCATCTTCAGGCTTTGAAATGAGCACAGCGTAAGGACAGAGTTCACTCCATTTCTCTCCTCTTGTGGTTTATATCACTTGTAGTGCTTGTCCATTTGTCCCAGGAGAAGAGATGGTGGCTCTCCGATGGTAAATTCTTTGAATCCTTTATGCTAAGTTGTCTAATATTTAAGTGCTCAGGAACATAAACACAAAATCGTTACTGGTAACTGACGTGCTAAGTTTATAAAGTAGAAGAGAAAATATATCTACAAAATAGTCTTCTAGTTGTAGAAGTGCCAGTTTTTGGAGGTTTCATTCTGGTATAATTTCCCTAATATGATTTGTGCAGGAAAATAGAACCATTAAAGAAACATTGGTGTAAAGGGTTCAGTAGAAACAGGATCTCTTTAAGTAGAAAAGCAAAGCCAAATGATGGTCTACATAAAGGACAAGGAGATTCAGATCCTGTATGGCTGATTTTAGAATTTTCTTTCTCCATGGAAAGCATTAGTTTGTGACATTAAATTAACATGATTCAAATGTATGCATAGATATCACCAAACAGGCTGGGGAATATCCCGTGGAACATTGAGGTTCTGTGACCCAGGCCCTTAAGTTTGGGTTAGATTTCACCCCTGGAAAAGGCAAAAGGCACAGTACAGGGTGTGTTTTTCTGGGCTGCTGATGAAAACACCTAGACAGGACCTGGCACGAAGAAGTGCCCAAGGATGCTCAATTGAATCTGACTCTGTTTGGTGTTTAGACCCTAGAAGCCAGGTTGTCATCTTCACAGGCTATGTTTCAAATTTTATTTGAAGTCGTGAAAATAATGCAGTGAAGACTGTGTTTTTTATGTAGTTAGGCATCATCTGCCTGCTGCTTTGCCTGCACTGGGGGTGGACTGAGTCTAAGGGGAGGTGGGGAGAGGTGGGCAGCGAATACCCTTGCTTTTGTGGCAGCAACACCTAGTGGCAGAAAAAGAGTGAGAAGAGCGAATTTGCCTTTCCCACTTCAGTGACAGCCCAGAAAGTAAGCATGAATGCTTCTGTCCCTCAGCTGCCCTGAGGTTTTTTTTTTTTTTTTTTTTTTTTTTTTAACTGTTAAGAAAATTAACTTCCAATCGAGAGGGAGGTCTTCCAATGCCAAATCTCCAGTTCATTTTTCTCTGGTCTGAGAGGTTTGAAGTGGAAACATTGGCTCTCCCTGCCGATCTGGTGGCAGCACTCCTGCTTACTGATGCATTTGACAAGATTTGGGATAATAACATATGACAGTGCAGCTAGGTAGAAATTCACTCCTTTATTTTTTGAATTAGGAATTTCACTGTTAGCATCTTTGAATTGGGAGGGATATCTCTAACGTCCCTTTCAGTTCCCAAACCGTAGATCTCTGATTTCTCAATGAGCAGGAATTGGGTTGAATGTGCAGGATATTATATTTCCAGAATAGTCAGCTGTTTCATCTGCTGAGAAAGGTGGGTGAGGAGGTATTTTAACTGAATGAGATCTCGGAATCTGTCTGTTTTCTGTGCAGTAACACCACACTATTCCTTCCTTCTTATCAGCAAGCTTATGGTAGCTGCCTGTCACTGGGAGACTGGGATATCAAAAATGACATAACTAACCAAAAAAACAAACATGATGTTTCGTTTCAGGATGATGAAATTAACCAGCAGAGCCAGCTGGCTGAAAAGCTGAAGCAACAGATGTTGGATCAGGATGAGGTAAAGAATGCAATATATTTTTTTTTCCACAAAGTTCTTCTATTACTCTTTGTTGTTGATGTTTGTTCCAGGAATTTAATTGGCATAGAAGCTTTTCATAATTACAGAATCATGTGGAAATTTCTTGGTAGATGTCCCTTCACTGCCTCTTACAAGCTGATTATCACTGAATTTAGAAAATAAATGTCTGACTTTCAAAAACCCCTGATGTTTTGAGATTGAGTAGCCAGTGGCTACAGTTCGTTCTGGAAGGGCAGAGACCTTTGGTTGGGTGATCAAGCAAGGATGATCCTTTTTTATTTTTATTTTTTTGAGACAGGGTCTCTCTGTTGTCCAGGCTGGAATGCAGTGGTGCAATCATGGCTCACTGCAACCTCCAGAGCTCAAATGATCTTCCCGCCTAAGACTCTCAAGTAGCTAAGACTACAAGAATGTGCCACCATACCTAGCTAATTTTTTAATATTTTGAGACAGAGTTTCTCTATGTTGGTCAGGGTGATCTTGAACTCCCGGCCTCTGGCTTGGCTCCTGCCTTGGCTCCCAAAGCACTGGGATTACAGGTGTGAGCCACTGCACCTGGCCTTGGGCAAGGATGATTCTGCCTCCTAATACCCAGCAATGCTGTGACCTGTTGTTTGAGTCCTACTTCAGTTTTGCAATCAGCTTGCTCAGATCTTTGATATACACCATGTTCTCCTGCTGTCCTGTAGGGATACACAAACAAAAACAAAACTAGAAGGTAGAGGAGGGGAAGGCAAAGAGAACGGGGCCCGAGTACTGCGTCAGCATGTTTGATACACTAAAAAGGAGGCAAATTGTTTTCAGTCTCTCCCCAAAGGCATTCAGTTCTTCAGCAAGTGTTTTTACTACATTGTGTGTTGCCAAGTATTTTACAAACAAGAACCTAAGCAAAGGATAGCCAGCCAACTTATCAAACATGCACAATTAATAATTCCCTTGCTGAGGACCGTTTAAGTGTTGTTTTCTTTTGTGCTTTAAGTTGCTTTCTGCTTCGTTGCTGAAATGCTATGGATTGGATCCCACTGTGCAATGACAGCAGGTGCCTGGGTTTCTGTCCTCAATCCCAGGCCTCTGTAGGCATAAAGGACTCTGTAACCATTTCCTTCCTCTTTGTTCCCTTTCATCTCTTTAGGACAATGATTACCTCCCCTGCCCAAACACTTCCCTTGGTAGGGAGATAATCTACACTTTTGTAATCAGGTGAACCATATTTCGTTGATCTCTCTCTCTTAGCTATAGTCGAGGCCTTCCATTTGCTTGAGTTTCCTGCCCTCTACCTCCCATTCTACTCCAGTTTCACCCACATTGGCACAGCTGCCTGGGATAAACTTTACTTCTTGTTACTGTTAAAACTCCTTAACATTTTTCTTTTTCTATACTATCAAGGCAGTATCTGTTCAATATAGGAAAATCAACTTAGGAACAAAGATAATGAGAGCGTCGGCAAGCCCAGACATTCGCTTTTAACTAAAGATACTGTTTGGGGTACATCCTTCTATATCTTCATGATGGATGTTAAAAAAAAGGTGACTGACCACTGTTGTATACTGTTTTAGTTGATTGTGAAGTCAACCAGTTTACAATGTGAAATCCTGATAACACTTAAAAATTATGTAAGTGTTATTCCTTGTCATTTCCTTGGAAACGACTCTCAGATCCTTTGCTTATTTATTTATTTATTTATTTATTTATTTATTTATTTATTTATTATTTAGACGAAGTCTTGCTCTGCTGCCCAGGCTGGAGTGCAGTGGCATCATCTCGGCTCACTACAACCTCTGCCTCCCAGGTTCAAGCTATTCTCCTGCCTCAGCTTCCCAAGTAGCTGGGATTATAGGTGTGCACCACCACACCCAGCTATTTTTTTTTTGTATTTTTAGTAGAGATGGGGTTTTGCCATATTGGCCAGGCTGTTTGTGAACTCTTGACCTCAGGTAATCCACCTGCCTCGGCCTCTCAAAGTGCTGAGATTACAGGCATGAGCCACTGCGCCTGGCCCCATCCTTTGCTTAAAATATGGAATAGCTATAAAATGCAGTGATTTTTTGATGTGTAATTCTTTCTTTGAGTTAAGGGTATACAGCTTTAAACTAACAACAACAACAACAAAACATACAAAACAAAACACATGCACACAAAACAGATTTTTGCAATAAGAACATATCTGTCTTTTTCTTTTATTTTTTTATCGTCTGGACCATACAGTGGGGTTTCCCATCATCCTGAACTTTTTCAACTTGTTTTCTTATATCTGGTTTTTAAATTACTTACTTTTGGATACAGCATAGAACATAAACATTTGAACATTAGATTCACAAGTTCCATGCCATCTCATTTCCCCAGCTTTTAGCTTCCACAAGAAGAGACTATGAGAAGATACAGGAGGAGCTGACACGTCTCCAGATTGAAAATGAGGCAGCCAAGGATGAGGTGAAAGAAGTTCTCCAGGCCCTGGAGGAGCTGGCTGTCAATTATGACCAGAAATCACAGGAAGTGGAGGATAAGACCCGGGCCAATGAGCAGCTGACAGACGAGCTGGCCCAGAAAACGGTTGGAGCATTTGTGTCTAGGGGGTGGGACTTCCTTGGCTGCCGTTCCTGTACTCATATTGATATTCATTGACAGACATGGTATAAGGAGGCAGTGGCTGAATAGTTATTCAGTGTTAGATGCATTCTCTGAGGTCCCTCCAACAATTGAAATACTTCGTGCAAGTGACTTTTGTTCACTCTTCCTGGAACTGCATATCATGACTGTTTTATATCCAGAGAATTAATAACATTAGTGGGGATGCTTTGTGGGAATAGTCAAAAGAGTGCAGACTTTGGAGCCAGAAAAGTCTTAGTTACAAGTCTGACTTCATAACTCTTAGACCTTAGCTGAGACAGTTAAGCTTTGTGAGTATTCATTCCCTTATCTGTAAAAATGGTGACGATCATATGCTGCTTGCATGGTGTGAGGATTAGTGACAGTTTATGTAAAGCACTTAGCACAGATCTGTGCATATGCTACGATATCAATACATACATCTCAAAGCATTGCTACTGGCAAGAGCAGGGTCCCATAGAAGGTATGGACTTCACTCTTCTTGCTTATACCCTCCTGAATGAATTCCATTCCCTCCCGTCAGCTTTTTGTCCTAGCTGTTACCTTCAGGAGCCTGGAACTAAGCTGCCCTTGTTTGTTTGTTTGCTGTTCTAAGCCAGTGCTTCAGCCTGCACATTCCCTTATTTCCAGATTCTCCAAATGAAAGATGCCATAGGTTCTGCAGTGAGCTAGCGGTAGCAGGAGCAGTGAATGTTTGGCATGGCGGGGTGGGATGTGTCCTTTTCTACCTGGAAAATGGGTGGTGGAGAAGCTGACTGGCTCTAACCTGCTATCCTTAGCACCTCTGCCCAATGGCCTGGTGTCCTGGGCTTGTGCCCAGCCTGCTTTGTGGAAAGCATCCAGTTTAAAAAGAAGTAGCAGATGGCGCAGGAGAGTGCTGGTCTGCTGACTGTGAGGCTGACAGGAAATGCTCCTCGCGGCATACATTCAGCTCCATGGAGGAAGACTTTTCTAGCAGCTTCCCAAGATGGGGACTACTGCCTCTGAGGATTTTAAAAACAAGATGACATAAGCAGTTGGCAATGCCAAACAAAATAAAACAAACTCATTCAGAAGTCACTTAGGAAAGGGGGCGACTTAGATTTTCTCTGCTTAGTGTTTTCTATGAGATTCTTTTAATTAGTCCTTCATGTTACTTGCTTCTTAAAACAATGAAACATTTTTCATAATACAGTTTTTAATTTGCCATGAAACCAAAGTATTACTAGATTGGTTTAGAAGACTATTATTAGACAGATTGTTTAAAAATGCTCTAGCTGCATATGGGAGAATTGTATAAATAGATAACTGTTTTACTGATGTTAAACGTTAGTTAAGAATACATACCTTTTGGCAAGATACATGAGGATGAAAAAGAGATGGGTTTATTAAAGTTTGACAAGAAAATAGAGCTTCTGCTATATAGTAAGAAACCAACTATTGAACGTAACCTAATTTTGAAAAAAGGTGAAGGGTGTTTAATTCAGCTTCACTCTGAAAATTGGAAGACTTTTTTTTTTGAAGTTGTTTTCTAAACTTATTAATGTTCTTCTGGGCCATCTATTCTAGACCCATCTGTCTTTATCAATTTAGGTGGGAATATGGAGGTGGCCCAGGGAGCAGGTTTGTTTAGGAGTGAAGGTGGGGACCCTTGCAGGTAAGTTTAGACCCTGAAATGAAACAGATAGGACTGACATAGAATATCTGGTAAGTAGGAAGATGCAATTACATGTTATAAATTTAAGGACTTCCTTTTTGGCTTAACTTATTTCCCTGACTTGGAAATTGTCATCTGATATGTAGACATATAATGTATCAGGCCATGTGATACAACTTGTTGATAAAGAGTTCCCCTTCTTATCCAAGAATGCAGTGCTATGCGAGAGTTTGCCTTAAAAGGATTCTTAGGTTGAAGTCATGTAAAAGAAATCCATTCTACATGATGGTGTTATTCTTTGTAATGTGGAGTGTATGAAATTGATGGGCAACCCTTTGAATTTGTTGTTGAAATTTGTTTTTCAGACTACATTGACAACCACACAGAGAGAGCTGAGCCAGCTACAAGAGCTTAGCAACCACCAGAAGAAAAGGGCAACTGAGATCCTGAATTTGCTGTTGAAAGATCTGGGGGAGATAGGTGGAATTATTGGCACCAATGATGTGAAAACTGTAAGCCAGCCCTTCTTTTATCCTCTCTACCTGCTCCTGTCAAGTTAGTAGGGTCTGTGCTTTACTCTTTTAAGCATTCAATGCTTAGCACTGTGCTTTGCATCTGCCATGTGCTGGTTAGTGTTTGAATGAATGAAAAAAGGGCTAATTGAATGACTGAGTGAATTGTTTGTTGGGGTGAGGAGGAGGAGAAAAAAAATTATCTTTCAAATCTAGGCAGTGTCTTCAAATGTTGGTTGGCTTTGTGTAAATTGGTTTATTTCTCAAATTGGTTTATTTCTCAACTTATTTCCTAATGTTGCAGAAGTTTGGAATTAAATAGCTTAAGCAACAGTTCTAGTCTCAGAATTGTGTTTTTCCTTTTCTGAAAGAACCCAGTGAAGTGAAAATTCTCCAAGTCAGTGTGAAAGTGATAGGATTCTAACAGTGGCTTAAGAAATAAAACCACATTTAATTATTCACAATATGAGAAGTCTAAAATCTTGCCACTCAGGGTGTGATCTGCCTCACCTGGGAGCTTATTGGAACTACAGCCTTTCAGGCCCCACCTCAGACCTATTGAATCAAAATCTGCACTTTAACAAGATTCTCCAGGTGATTCTTTATGCTTATTAAAGTTTGAGAAGCAAATTTTGTTTTGGTGCCATGGCTCAACAATGTCAAGTTCTCAGGCTTTTTCTCTGTTTCCTTTCTCCTGTCCTCAGCTTGTTTCCTTTTCATAATCCAGAGGATTATGCCTCATGGTAGCAAAATAGCTGCTGTAGTACCAATCATCACATCCTCACTCAACCACATCCAAGGCAGGATGGGCTGAAAAGGCCAACTTCTTTAATCCAGGAGGGAAACATATCCCAGAAGTCCCCAGGAGACATATCCTTACACTTCATTGGCCAGAACTGGATCACATGACCACTCCACATTTCTGGGAAAGCAAAGGGGACTGGGATTACTATAATTGGCATAGACCAATCATGATGAATCCCTTGGGGTTGTACATATTGGTGCTCTTGGTTATTTGTTTATTTATTTATTTATTTATTTTGAGACAAACTTTTGCTTTGTCACCCAGGCTGGAGTGCAGTGGCGCAATCTCAGCTCACTGCAACCTCTGCCTCCTGGGTTCAACCAATTCATGTGCCTCAGTCTGCCGAGTAGCTGGGATTACAGGCATGTGCCACCAGGCCCTGCTAATTTTTTTATTATTATTATTTTTTTAAGTGGAGATGGGGTTTCTCCATATTGGCCAGGCTGGTCTCGAATTCCTGGCCTCAAGTGATTCGCCTGCCTCTGCCTCCCAAAGTGCTGGGAATACAGGCGTGAGCCACCACACCTGGCCATTGGTGCTGTTGACAGCGAGAAAGTAAGAGATGTGGGGATAATAGGGGTGGTATAAAGTTGTCCAGAAACTAGGAATAGAAGGAAGAGATAGAGTTAAAAATGGTATCAGCCCAGAACAGGTAACAATTTGCTGGAATATAGAAAGGCTATTGTTGTTATTAACCAAAAAGACAGGGTAGAGACATTTTTAAAACAAAACAAAAAGCTTTATTGAGGTATAATTTACATAAAGCTGCACATATTTAAAGTATACAGTCTGAGAAATTTTGACGTATGTGTACAGTCATGAAACCATCAGCACCGTTAAGATAATGAATGTCCCCATCTCCCCCAAAAGTATGTGGGGGCAGTTTCTGGTCTCTCTATTTTGTTTCATGGATCAAATCTTCCTGCCAATACCACAATGTTTTGATCACCATAGCTTTATAATAATACAGCATCTTATACAAAGGAGTCATTGATGAATATATGTTGATTTTGTTGAGCTGGGGAATGGTATTACATTGCTTACCTTACATGTCACAATTCCCTGAAACCAAATTCTTTGAATTTAGCCATTTTATCTTTAAAAGGCTGAATTCTACATCAGTCTGCTTAGTGGGGACACTCAGGTCGTGAGCTGGGATTGTTAAATACTGGAAAATGCTCCCAAGATCAGGCTTCCTTTTGTAGACTATTTCTGGGAAATGTTGAAAGCCGTTTTTGGATGGTGTAACAGGTCCCAGCTTAGAGTACATGACCGCTCGTAAATGTAACCATTCTTTCATGGAACCTTTATTGTAACTGATTATTTCATAAATCCTTGTGAATGAATCTAATTCTAGCACAGACTTCTCAGATACTATAGAGTTAATCTTATTAAGCTTCAATTTGGTGATTTTATATTTGAAGATTTAATTTTTTGAACCATACATTGGTGTTGAGCAATAAAATTCGATGTGAGGTGATTAAATGGCCTCACAATATGAAGGTGGAGTTGATATATGGGAAGTTGATGCTTGCTGCTGATAACGATAAAGGAAGAAGGTATTTTTATGCTAAGTTCTAAAATAGAGCTGATGAAAATGCTAATGAAATCAGGAGTGTCTGGGTGCTTCAGTATTGAAAAAAGAGTCTTTACCTTTGGGAATCTGAACTATGATTGAGATTGAGATTGTTTTTAAATACTCAATTGGATATTTTTGAGATTATTTTTGGATTCCAGACATTGGATGTCCTAGTTAATTTCATTGATAGCCATCATTTCTATCATTCTGGTTTTTTTCATATAATTATGAGTTCATCATTAGGGTGATAAGAGCTAAGGGAGTAGTTGTATGACTTTGGATGAGTGACTGTACTTCTTTGGGCTTCATTTTTCTAATTTATAAAATGACAAGATAAGCTCAGACAGTATCAAAAATTGTCGGCTCAGAAATTACTTGACTTCTGCACATTTGTTTTAGATTTATCCTTATAGGTACAGGTACTTTTCTTATTGGTCATGACTATGAATTGATATAGTAATTCTTTTGATATAGGAAAATGAACAGATCAAGGGAATTTGTTTCAGTGGTTTTGTATTTTTATTCCTAAAATGCCATTTAATTTTCACAAGGTCCCTCCTGGTAGGGCTCTGGGATGGGGGAAAAATATGACTATTGGAGCCTTCCCCAGTCCACAGTTCTAGAATATGACAGCTCTGAAAAGCCAGAAAACAGAAAAACCCATATATCCCCAGCTCAATCATGTCTTGAAACATTTCCAGAGTCCAGTCATTTTGTTTCATCAACAAAACAAGATGAGTCCAGCATATAACAAGATGAGCCCAATGTTAACTTTATCGAAGTTTATGAGTGAGCCTTCTCTTCCTTTCATGTACTGGTGGCACTGAACTGTCAACAGAAGTATGATGAGGTCCATACATTTGGAAAGGAGAGCTTTATTTTTCATAATGGGTTGCAGCCTGCAGGGTGGCCACTCTTACAGGTTGGGAAGTGTAGCCTTTGGCCAGAAGCCAGAAAGAAGCACTTTGAGGATGGGAAGAATGACAGGGACTTATGTTTTTCACAGGGTGGCCAAATAAACTTATTCAACAGGTTACAGGAGGAGCTATGAAGATTCATGAAGGAGTGGCATGTGCATGTGTAGTAGGAAAACATGTATGCAACATGGGTCCCATGTTCACTTTTATTTGGAGACTTAACATTTAAATGTATTATAATTAGGCCCTGTACATCAAAGGGTGAAGCAGAGGATATGAAGGCTGTGTGCAGCCTTAGTAGCCTGGCCAGAACCAGAACCACTTCATGGTTGGTGGTCTCTCGTTGGGGAAGGAACTTTGGTTGGTGGTTGTGTTGAAATTGCAAAAGAGAGGGGCAGGGGCAGGCTGTGGTTATCAGCAGTGAAGCAGTGGAGTGAATATTTCAAAAGGGCTGGCTTCTGTTTAACCCTTGGGGAAGAAAGCCTAATGCTGATTGGCGAGGGAGGGTGTATGACCAGGCGTTTCCAACTTCCCAATCTGTCCTGGGCTGGAACTCGGTATTTAACATTTCTCTGGGGTCTCCTTGGCCACGAGGGGGTCTGTTCAGTCATTCGGGGGGTTAGGATTTTATTTGTATTTCTTGGGGCCTACCTTACCTTGCTACCTTCAAAGGAATTTAGCCAGAACCTGAATAGAAGTTGAGGTAGAGTAAATGAACTGAATTGGACTGGCTGCCTTATTTTCTTTTGGCCCACACTGACTTCTTTTTGTCCCATTCTAACTTTTATGACTTTAAATGTGAACATGCACCTTACTTACCTTGGGTGTGGCCTAGGAATGGCAGTAGTTCATCATCGTGCACAGCCACTCCATGCTTGAGAGATGGGGGTAGGGAGGTGGAGAGGTAGGGATGACTCCCTGTATAGGCAGGTAGAAGCAGCAGGCCACATCTTCCATAGATTTCATGACGGTGTGGTCTTTTCTCCTGGGTTGGTCATTGATACTGGATCCCATGGTCTAGTATGTACTACTGGGGGCATTATCAGACTCTGGGACAGTTATAAATAAAATTTCAGCAGCAAACTGATTTTTTTTTTTTTTAAATAACAGTGTCCTGAAATTACTGGAAACTTTTGAACATGAAACCACTAAATATATGAACTTTGTAGTGGTAAGAAACCTCACAGTTAAAACCCCTTTGTTAGGGGTATTGTTTTTATCCATCAGGCACAAACTCAAAATCTCCTTTTAGATCTCCAAGGACAGGAACTGGCTTCAGAAGTTATAGCTCTGGTTTGGGAGAAGAAATGTCTAGCTCTTATTTTGGAGGAAGCCCATCTTTATACATATCTATATTTTTACTCTTCCTCAATTTACATGGGATCTAGGCATAAAAGACAAAGTGTCCTACTTTGACAGACCTGGAAAAGAAGAGGAATTCATTCTCTTCCCAGGGTGCCAGAGCTTCTGGCTCAGCAGCGTTTTCCTACCAGGAGCTGGTGTAGGCTGTGAATTCCATGTGGAAGAGATGGGTTTTACTTTGTCTTTCTGCAGAGGCTGGACAAGATGTAAGATACACCTGGTCAGGCTCAGGAAGGTGTTTCTCATCCTTCTCCTACACTGGACTAAAGACAGTGGCAGAACACACTCAACTTAAAGATTGCATGCTTTTCTCACCCAGTGTCTCCATGCCATTAGAATAGAAAAGGAATATAGTGAGGAGTGGTTTTGGTAGGCAGATCTTTGGCAGTCGGAAGTAAAATGGGTTTAACAAGGACCTCCATGAAGGTAGAGTCAGAAATAGATACTTGTCAATTTTCTTGCTGTTGACATACATTCTGCAGTATTGTTGACACTGGAGTCACTTGACATGTACTATTGTTGAACTTTTTTAATTTTTAATTTTTATTTCAGTAGGTTTTTGGAGGACAGGTGGTGTTTGGTTACATGGATAAGTTCTTTAGTGGTGATTTCTGAGATTTTGGTGCACCCATCACCTAAGCAGTGTACACTGTACCCAGTGTGTGCTCTTTTATCCCTCACCCCACTTCCCACCCTTTCTTCCAAGTCCCCAAAGTCCATTGTATCATTCGTATGCCTTTGTGTCCTCATAGCTAGCTCCCACTTATGAGTGAGAATATACGATGTTTGGTTTTCCATTCTTGAGTTATTAATACTTCACTTAGAATAATAGTCTCCAATTCCACCCAGGTTGCTCCGAATGCCACTATTCCATTCCTTTTTATGGCTGGGTAGTATTCCATGATTTTACACACACACACACACACACACACACACACACCACATTTTCTTTATCTACTCATTGACTGATGGGCATTTGGGCTGGTTCCATATTTTTGCAATTGCAAATTGTGCTGCCGTAAACATGCACGTCTTTTTCATGTAATGACATCTTTTCTTTGGGTAGATACCCAGTAGTGGGATTGCTGGATTGAGTGGCATATCTACTTTTAGTTCTTTAAAGAATCTCCACACTGTTTTCCATAGTGGTTGTACTAGTTTACGTTCCCACCAGCAGTGTAAAAGCATTCCCTGTTCATCACTTCCATGCCAACATCTATTTTTTTTTATTTTTTTTATTATGGCCATTCTTGCAGAAGCAAGGTGGTTTCACATTGTGGTTTTGATTTGCATTTCACTGATAATTAATGATGTTGAGCCTTTTCTATATGTGTGTTGGCTATTTATATTGTTGTTGAATTCTTATGGTAAGGTTGATGCCAAACTACAGGCACTCAGCAGTTTCTAGTGTACTTCATATTTGCTACCAAATTTCAGGGCTGATACCTGGTTCCATTTTTTTAGCCCTCAAATGTTTACTGAACAGATAGTGATATGATGAGTGAATGACATCAATAACGACATAGGTGGGCACTCAGAGTGTACTGTGGAACATCAAAAAACCACGGTTGGAGTCATTGTCTTTCAACCAGTGGAAGCCTGTGTTTCTGCGCTGGATTCTGGACAGGGCTCTTTGTTTTCTCTTAAGGTGCTAGGCTGCACTCTGGTGGCTAAACAAAATATGCACACAGTTACTTGCTCATTTGGTCAATTGCTCTTAAAGACCATGTTTGCATTTCAGCGGATGGGTTTCTATCCCAAGTAGCTTGCTTCAACTTTTGTTTCAAGTAGAGCTTTGAAACTTAGAAACTAAATATAGATCATGCGGGAATGCTGGCTGTCAGAATCTTCTTTTCTAAGGTGGATTTAGACTGTTGTTCTCAGATGATCTTAAATAATGAGCTAGATTACTGTCTGTTTGGAAGGAACAGGTGTGAAAAGGCAAAGGAAAATAGACTGGTAGTAGTAATGAAAAGTTATGCTGAGAAACCTTCATCAAGAAGCCCTTTGGTAATTCATAGTACATTCTTATTTATTCGATTTTCTGTTTAATTGAGGACTACATAGAAACACCTTTTTATTTCAATCCTTGTTTATAGAAACATATTCAAGGCATTACACTACTTGTCTACCTGAATAAGCACACTATAGAGAACATTAATGAAGTTTTGATTTGAGTTTTTATAGGAATTCAGCATCACCTTTCGGAGCATTGGGTGTCGCTGCTGTTACAGAGATGTAAGGTGTAAGACATTGAATGGAATACCTTTTTGAAGTTATCTCCTTTTAAAAATCTTCAGTGTTTCTTCTTATGCTGTCATTTCTCTTTCTAAAAATTGATGGTAATGAAAAACCTAGTTAATTGAGGATTATATTTAGTAGGGGGTTTCAACTGAAAGTTTCACCTGAGGTGTAGGAGAACTTGGGGTTGAATGTTTAGTACTTTCCGCTTGTCCTTTAATTAGGATTCTGAACCAGAAATCCATGGACACCTTGGGGATCCAGGGGCAGGTTTCCAGGGAGTCCGTGAACCTATGGAAATTGTGGGCAACATTTGAGTGTGTCCCCTTCTTTGCTCAGTTGGCAGATGTGAATGGAGTCATTGAGGAGGAGTTTACCATGGCCCGCCTGTACATCAGCAAGATGAAGTCAGAGGTCAAGTCCCTGGTGAACCGCAGCAAACAGCTCGAGAGCGCCCAGATGGACTCCAACAGGAAGATGAATGCCAGCGAGCGGGAGCTGGCAGCCTGCCAGCTGCTCATCTCCCAGGTGGGCCCTTCCCTTCCCCATCATTGCACTCTTGTTGTCTTGAGATCTGCTCCCTCCATGCCCTTGCTGGTGCTGATGGTGCACCTTAGGCTTAGTTGAGGGACTGCTTTGTGTAAGCTTGGCCTCCCCAGGTGATGGCAGCCCAGGTCTATTCCTAGGGCTACATTTTGTTGTGTGAAATAGATGAATTCTGTTGAGTCCGTTCCCTTTTTCGAGGATATATCTATCTACCCATCCATAGATGGATGGCTAGCTAGCTAATGAATGTAAAAGATTGGGTGGAATCTCTAAAACTCCTGTAAGTAAGGCAATATTCCCTCATCTTTTAATCTCTACCATAGGTCCACTTTAATATGGAAAAACAGAAACTACTACTAATAGTAGTAGTAGCAGGTGGCATTTTATTGAGTGTTTACTATGTACCATACACTGTGCTAAGTACTTCACATGCATTTTCTCACTTAATCTGAAAAAAATCCTGGTAGGCAGGTTTTATTATTATTCCTCAGATAGGCAGCTGAGATTTAGACTAAATGTCTGTCCAAACACCTACAGCCCGTGAATGACAGAGCTAGGACTCAAAAAAATGTGTGTGAACCCAAAACCCATGTCTTCAAGGGCTTTTCAAGCCCGAGGGTACATTTCACTTGCCTATTGAGTAAGGCTGCTCTTCTTCCTATTGGAGTGGCATTTTCAGTTTAATAAGGTAGCTTCAGAAAACAGCAACCCAGTTTCTGGGCTACCACTGATATCTGAGCTTGGTATTTGGGTCTGACGTTTCCAGGAGGGGTCTAGTTGTATACTACTTGCTGCTTTATGCCAGGCATTAAAATAGGCTGTCATTTGGAGTAAACAGGAAACAGATACCAACATGGATTGGTGTGTCAAATAATACTGAGGCGGACAAAAGCACACTTTATTCTGGTATGCTTTTAACCATAATAATGTGTAATCATAGAAACATCTCCAACCTCTCTGTCTAAAATGGATCCACAAGGTTCCATTTTATAACCAGCATAATAAGCAGAAATGTATTGAAAAGATTATTCAGTGCTAATATGTGATAGTAAAATTGATATATTCATACATTGTTGATAAAAGTATAATTTGGTCAGTCCTTTTGGGAAGCACCGTGGAAATCAGAAACCATAAAAATGTAAGTATAATTTAGTCCAGTAATTTCACTGACAGTATTTTTCATTGTTAATGAAAATGAAAAAAATTTATTTCATATGGTATTCTCATTTCCTGATTAAAAATATTAAAAGCTTTTATGCAAGGTATTGAAGACAGTGTTATTTTGCATTATAATAAAATAAATTGCCCAAATATCCATTGATAGACTAATAAGATAAAGTTACATGGAATAATATTATGCAGCTCTTATAAAAAATGTAAAAACCTAGCCATTGGGAAAGTCTAATGGTATAAAGTTAAGTGAAAATGAAAATGCTGAGTTGGATTTATATTGTGCTTTGCATTCCTGCAGCTAAGACCAGGAATATCAGGGGGAAATAGTCCATAGATTGGTTTATGGTTTACACCACTTTTTCTGGATTTGCTTTAGAACTTTATTTTTTTATGATTATATAGTTGTTATTTATAAAAAATTAAAATAAAAATGATATGCATTAGGCAACAGTGTACCTCATCTGTGATTTCTAGGTCATCTATGATACCAAAAGCATGTGTTTTGGCCAGCCTGCCTCTAACATTTCGGGGCCAAGGCAAGGGTACTCATGGAGACCCCATGGCCTGCAGCCCACCCTCTTCTCTTTCAAGCTGGACATACCAGCTCCATGTCCAACTCCCTTTTGCACCCGGTGTGAACTGATGGAACTGTTAGATGCCGGCTGCCATTTGTTTAAATGGGTGAGGAAGAGGTAGTGCCAGCCCTGGCCTTCAGACCTGGAGTAGGAAGTTTCTAGGTCCCCAGTACTCTGAGGGTGGTCTATAGGGGACATAGGTTCAGATGGACATGTTCCTTTGGCCTGTGAACTCTTTGCTTAGTGGAGTAGGGTGTAGCCAGAGGAGGGCCCAGTGGGGTGCTCTGAATCGTCCAGGTCTCAGACTGACACTGACTTTGCTGTATGAGATCAGAGTCGAGAATATTATGATGTGTTGAGTTTAAAGAGTACCTGTTCTAAAGTTCTCTTTCTGCATCAGCAACAAACACAGCTTCCATTAGGTGGAGGTTTGCACTCTGCTACAATTCATGCATAGCAAAGATTCGACCATTATTTCCTGAGGTTCAAAAGTAACAGAAACCATGGCTGTTTATATTCTGATGTGATCTAAGGAATCTGACACAGTCTTTCCAGCTGAAATGCTATCTTCTTTGTTTACATTCATCCTCGTCACCAAAAACTGTGCTTATAAGATGACTGTTCCAACGGAGGAGTTGTGTTTTCTGGAGAGGTTATTTCATTAGATTAAAGCTCAGTCTCCAGGGTCTTCCTGCCTAAAGCTGAGCTCCCCAGATCTGGAGAGGGGAGTGTTCTGTATATATTTTCCATCTGCCTAGAAGTTACCACTGTCCCTGTTCAGCCAACAAGCTCTCATTCATCCATTCATTTCACGAATATTTATTAAGCACTTACCCTCATGGAGCTAGCAAGTAAAAAAGACAAGACAAATGATGTAGACATTAGGTGCTGTAAGAAAGTGTTGGGGCCTGAGTGATAAGGAGCTAGCCAAGGTAGTGTGTGTGTGTGGCATGTGGTGGGGTGGTGATGGTGGGGAGGGAAAGCTTCCAGGGAGAGGAAAATGCAAAGGCCCTGAGATGGGAATTGGTGTGTCTGAAGGACAGAAAAAGGGAAGACCTAATAATTGAATGGTGAAGATGGAATCCAGAGGTGCATGTTCAATGAATGAGGCCTTCAGCCCTGCACTTTTCCCAGCCCCTTTCTCTCATGCATGCTTTTCTCTGAGAAGGGAAACCAGCTCGGCCTTTGGCATCTCATGTTAACTGGATGGTGAGGAGGGGCCTGCCATGAGTGGTGTCTGTGGGGAATGAAGCCGAGAAGCACAGGGAGAAGCAGAGGTCTGTCTTGGTATGATTCTGAACACCAAGGCAAGGGTAAAATGGGCACCATTTGGTTGTGGCACTCAGAAAAGGGACTCAGGAACCCCTCCTCTCTCGCATTTTCCTACCAGACAATTCCAGGCCAGCCTGGATGACCACTTGCTAGTCATTCACTCTTCCTTTTTGCTTGTTTAAAGCACGAAGCCAAGATCAAGTCTCTGACAGACTACATGCAGAACATGGAACAGAAGAGGAGGCAGCTAGAAGAGTCCCAGGACTCGCTCAGCGAAGAGCTGGCAAAGCTCCGAGCCCAGGGTAAATATTTGACTAACGTGCAGGTGTCAAACACCTGGCCTGAGTCAGACAGCCTCTGGTTGGCTGGAATCATGATGTTTAGTTTCGTTCAGTTAAAGCATTTCTAGGTCTACTGCAAACAAAACCATAACTAGAAAAAAAGGAGCGATTTCTTTTCTTTCTTTCTTTCTTTTTTTTTTTTTAAGATGGAGTCTCGCTCTGTTGCCCAGGCTGAAGTGCGGTGGCATAATCTCAGTTCACTGCAACCTCCGCTTCCCGGTTCCAGCGATTCTCCTGCCTCAGCCTCCTGAGTAGCTGGGACTATAGATGCGTGTCACCACACCTGGCTAATTTTTGTATTTTTTAGTAGAGATGGGGTTTCACCATATTGGCCAGGCTGGTCTTGAACTCCTGACCTCGTGATCTGTCTACCTCAGCCTCCCAAAAGTACAAGAGTCAGCCACCGTGCCCAGCCTAAAAGGAGAGATTTCTGAGAGACCATCCCCACACTGAATCTGCTCATCTTCCCATTTCCTCACAGTCCACCCAGTTACCCAAATCAGAATCCCCTGCTCCCCACCTCCTGACTCTAGTTGGTCACCAGAGCCGGTCCATTTCACCTGCCAGAGGCCCCTCTGGTTCACTGTCCAGGTTAACTAAGGACTGTGGCTACATCCATCTACCCATGCCCACCCTCAGTCTGCTCTGGGCCAGCCACTGTGTGGCATCCTGAGGGATGATTCTAAAATTCACATTCTCTCTCTGTCCAAACGGACACTTCTAACCCTTCCATGGCATCCTGTTGCTCTTAATATAAAGTTTGAACTGCCGTGGCTTCCCTGGCACCCCCTTGAACAAGCTCTACCCTTTGCCAGCCAGCCTTGTGATCTCCTGAGCTTAGGGAAGTGCCTCGCACATAGGAAGCACTTCATAAATATTAATGAATATAAGCAGAAATTCAAGAGAAGGGTCTAGAAATGCAGAAAGTAGAACAGGATTAAGAATGTATGTGCCATGCAATGTGAAACTAGAACATATATATTATGGGTTGCAATGAAAATTGTTAGAATTTTCTCAGAAAGCCATTTGAAAATACATATTAATAACTGTAACATTTTTCATACCTTTTGATCATCACACCTCAGATATTCATTGCAGAATTTTAGATCAGCAAAAAAGAGGAAGCCATCTAAATGTCTAATAGTTAATACACTATGGCGTGTTATTTAATAGAACTTTTTCTTCACATGAAATACATGAAGGTGTGCAGCAATGTTTATGATGCAATGTTAGGTGAAAATCACAATATATCATTGTATTCTTACTATGGTTATAACTATTAAAAATGAATGGATGCAGCTGGGCACGGTGGCTCACGCCTGTAATCCCAGCACTTTGCGAGGCTGAGGCGGGCGGATCACGAGGTCAGGAGTTCGAGACCAGCCTGGCCAACATGGTGAAACCCTGTCTCTACTAAAAATACAAAAATTAGCAGGGTGTGGTGGCACACGCCTGTAATCCCAGCTACTCAGGAGGCTGAGGAAGGAGAATTGCTTGAATCCAGGAGGCGGAGGTTGTAATGAGCCGATATCGTGGCACTGCACTCCAGCCTGGGCGACAGAACAAGACTCCATCTTGAAAAAAAAGTGAATGGATGCTTGTGTTCCTAAAAATTCATATTTAAGATAAAAGTGGTTGTGATAGGGTAGTTGGGATTGGTGATGCTGTTATCAGTATTTATATCCTTTATTGTTGTTTTACAGTTTGCTCAGTAAATGCAATTTGTGTCAGACGCCAAGGCAAATTTAAAAAGAAAGAACATACCCACTCTCTGCTCTAACCTTGTAACATGTTCTTTGTGTGGTAACACATGGCATGTTAGGAGTAGGTGCACCATCAAAACTGCACATGGAAAATCATGTTTCTCTCTTGCATCCGGTGGTTCCTGCAGTGGGGCCACTGAGTTGAAATAAAATAGAGGCAAGAAAACCTGAAGTGGAACAGACTAGAGAGAAATAATGAATTGAATGTCACTGTCGTAAAGCACTCTGCCCCCTGGCACCCCAGCTCCCCAGCTGGGGCTGCCCATTGCACCTGGCTGGCATTTAGGGAGCACCATCGACCAAGCATATGCTGAGACAGGAGTGCCACACTGCAGCCCTGCCCCAAACATGGGGCCTTCTGGTTTAATCTCAAAAATGTTATGCTATCTTTCTGTTTCCCGTGTTCCCATCCTGGAAACAGAGTATGTTTTCCTGCCCCAGATTCTTAGAGAATAAACGCCTACCCATGGGAGGTAAATTAGGTCTTCCTAGAACTCCCATCATGGCATGGGTCCACAGGCCACCTAACAGTCACAGAGGGCTTTATCATCTGTAAGGCCCGTTCATGCACATGACCTTGGGCTGCTCACAGAGACCAGGTGGGAAACAAGCCCTCCCAGGTGTGCGGTGACATAAAGCCAGAGTGCAGTCCTAGGAGGGCCGCCCCCAGTGAGCATTGTCCCCCAGTAAGCATTGTCCCCTGCAGTTGTCGCGCTCCCCCGTGGAAGGAATGCTTCAGGAGGGGGCAGCCTTGGCTTTAGCCAGAAGTCCTTGCCTGTTCCTTTATGCCATGGTTGTAATTGCTGATATAAGCTGATGTTTCACTCTGTTGCCATTTTTCTTGCTTTTTGTTTTTTAATTTTTGCTTTTGGGTGTGAGTCCCACCAGTTAAGTCTTAAATCATCATTTAAAATTCAAAACAGAAAAAATGCACGAAGTCAGCTTCCAGGATAAGGAGAAGGAACATCTGACGCGGTTGCAGGATGCTGAAGAAATGAAGGTGTGTGTGGCTGCCCCTTCCATCAAGCCCAGTGTGCATTTGATGCATTTGGATTGGAAATGCTTGTTCTAGGAAAATCTGTCACCTTCAGATCCGTATATGGCAAGGGACAGGGGAGGGGCTGTTGTTGGGCATTCAGAGTCGATCTCAGAGTATAGCCTGGCTTAGAAATGAACAAGTCCAGAAACCCCAAGATGTCTGTAGAGAATGGTTAAGTTGCGTTAATACCTTTGTCTTCACCATTCCTGATGAAGAGGGAAAGGGTAGCACCCCCAATCACTGCATGGGCTCTTTTGTCGGAGTTAACTTCTAAGGATTTCTTCCTCCAACCTTTACGCAGAACACACCAAATTTGAGTTTCTATCTCAAACATAGAGATTTTTCTTTTGGTCACATTTTAAACTGTAAAGGAAAATTGATTGTGGAGTAAGACTTTTAGGTGAATAAAATGAGACAGGAGAAGATGTAGGATTTTGATTAGTTGTAGGCAAACTATGAGCCTCATTGAGTCAAGGTCCACAGTTAAAGACGTCCACGGCATGCCCTTGCTCCAGCCAGCAGAATAAAATCATGCGTCGTGGGAGTCCCTTTCCTGTTTTCAGAGTGCTGTTGCCAAAAGGTCTCCTTTGGACATCATCATAAATCTGTGCAGTGGGCAGGGCAGGGGCTTTTATCTCAGTTTTACATGTGAGGGAGTGCAGCTCACACAGGTTACAGGCTTATCTGGAGGTTACGTGGATAGGGAGAGGTTGGTGCCCTCTGACTGACCTGGCTGGAGAAGCTCAGGCTGGGCTGTAAAAGGTCAAGGGAACACTTTTTATTTAGTTGGTGGGCTAATTGGCTTCTAGGGCCAACTTGGTTTGATAACAGATCTTGGGTTTTGTTATCCCAATAAAGCAAGGCCGGGTCCTGGGGGCAAAACAGCCAGAAATGCCCCCAGTTTTGGGATCTGACATCTGAGGGACACAGGGAAGGAGGTAGGTCCAGATCCAGGGCTTGTCACAGAGTGGGCTGAGTGCCAACGAGTAGATGACATGTTTCTCTTGGCCTGGGATGCAGAAGGCGCTGGAGCAGCAGATGGAGAGCCACCGGGAAGCTCACCAGAAGCAGCTGTCCAGACTCCGAGACGAAATTGAGGAGAAGCAGAAAATCATTGATGAGATTCGGGAGTGAGTCGGCCCAGGGCACCAGGGGTGTGGGGGTGGTCATGCCTCGGTCCTCTTGGGGAAGCCTGGAAGGATGTGGCTCTTAGTCGAGGGCCCTGCTCACCTTGCCCTGTGGGCACTGCCCTGGTGACACAGCAGGCTGGGCGGGCTGCTTCCAAGGTCTGTTCTCCGATCTGGAGCTGAGCCTCCTGGAGCCCTGGCATGGCAGGTGGCAGGCGGGCCCAGCTGCCTCTCCTAGTCCCCGAGGGCCAGGGTCACATAGGTGATTCCGCTGGATGGACGCATGCCCCAGTAGATGGGGGGGAGCATCTGTAATGAAAGCACCAAAAAAAAAAAAAAAAAAGAAAAGAAAAGAAAAGAAAAAAAAAAAATTTGGTCCTGACTACAGGATTCTAGTAGGTTAATAAACACTCGAGAGAAGACAGCACCACCGCCTCCCCTTCTCCCCCTACACATACACGCTCACTGGGCAACCCAGCCACCTGGTTCCATGTGCTCACTTCTTAGGGCCCCACACTGTCATGTGTCTGTGCAGGTAGAGGTGCCAGTGACCTGTGGCACTGCCACCAGGATGGCATCATTGCAGTTTCTCTCAGGTGACACCCCCTCATGTTGTGCTCCTGCCTTGTCGCAGCCTCTGACATGCCCTCTGCTCCTTCAGAATAATGTTTTCAAATGCTCTGCATAAAAGACCTGGGATTACAAAGAAAACCAATTATATTGAAATGCTGACCTCCCCACCCCCACCCCACCCAGGGTCTACACTGTTCCCTCCCCTCCCGCTTTCTGTAGATGAAGAAACAGATTTCTATATGGGAAGCAAGGCGAAATGATTTACTTAAGGTCACATTGCTAAATAGGAATCAGATTGGAGTTAGACTTTAATTCTCCAGACTACTGATCCAAGTCCCTTTTCAATGTGTGTGAGCCGCTCGAAAGGTGCATTTGCATTTTAAAAGAGGAGAATGGTAACCCAAGCAAAAGTCTAAATGGTGTGACCCAGGCTCGGTGCCCAGTTCCTGAAGGAAGGCACTTAGCCTCCTCCCTCTTTTTCTCCTCTTCGGCCATCCCCTGCTGTTGCCATGTTGTGCTTTTCCCCTTCAGGGATATCTCACATTCGTTATTCTGATTAATCACCCTCACAGATTCGACTGGAAGGGAGGGGGAGGTTGGAGGGAAGGAAGAGGGAGAAAGAGGGTTGGTTGGTGAGTGAGTTAGGTGGAGGGGGAAGCTTCCCTGGCTTGTGCCTTTCAAATGGACTCTGGGTTTTCCTTCTGGTAGTGCATAGCTGTTCCTTTACAGGCGCTTAGGCGTGGCTCTAGGAAAGGTTTTATGAGTCCTGGGCTGATGTAAATGTTGACCAAACACCCTCAACCAGATGGCGAGTTTCTGTTTGCAGCAGAGCCCAGGCTGTCTTTTCTTCATAATTCTCTCTGTGCCCACTCCTCGAGGGCAGGAACTGTCCCTGTATCAGTGAGGCATTCGGACTTGGGAGATGTTTTTAGAACATCAGACCAGAAATGAGGGAAGGTGGAAATGGCCAAATCAGGTTCCCCAAGTGACTGCATGCCATCCGAGGGGCCGAGGAAGCAGAGTTCTTCTGACATGGGCTCTCTGTTTTAAAATATCAGCCCTTCTCCCATCTCATTATTTTTCCCCTGAAGCTCTTGCACAAGCAAACTATAAATACATCCTCAAAGCCTTATGTTTCATGACTCTTAGATGCACCCCAGAAATTAGTTTTCACTTGGGCACGGAGGAAGCTGTGAGGCTGTTCTGTGATCCCTCCAAATCCTGCAGAATTACTGCCTTTATTGTACAGAGCTAATAGGGTTGGAACAGAACCACGGTTTTAGCCTGATGACTCAGAATTTCAGACTGATGTGGAATATATTGCTTTTTCCTCTCAATTTCAGTTTGAATCAGAAACTGCAACTGGAACAGGAGAAGCTTAGTTCTGATTATAACAAGCTGAAAATAGAGGACCAAGAGAGAGAAATGAAGCTGGAAAAGCTCTTGTGAGTGCACTCTAAATATTTCCTCTATTTTCTCTCATCCCCATGATATTCTGGTTAGATTGGGCTAATTTAAAAACAGACAATGGCTATTTGTGTGCTTGTTGGTGGGTTTTGTTGATTTATCTGTGGATGCAAATAGTATCTGCTGAAATCTCTGAGTCCCCTGTGGTGGTCTATGGTTCCTTTTTGTTTTTCAGATTGCTCAACGATAAAAGGGAACAAGCCAGAGAAGACCTCAAAGGGCTGGAGGAGACAGTGGTATGTCAAGATATTTCCCGATTTATGTTTGTCTCCAAGACCGGATTCATTTGTGATTTGTCGGATTATTTCAAAATTTTATCCATGCACACCTTTCTGTGTAATGTTTTAGATAAGACATTCTATGGAAAAGTAGGATTTGTAGAATTTAGTCCTCAACTTTTCACAGAATCAGTCAACCAATCCATCTATCCTTAGAGCAGTAACCTGGAGCCCCTGAGTGAGGATTAAGCTGAATTGCAACTTAGCAATTTTACAGCCCTGCACTTTGTGACATACTTCCACTCAACATTCAACAGATATTTATTGAGCATCTCCTAACGGCTGGCATTCTTCAAGGTGCTTGAATATATCCATAAACAACAGAGATAAGATCCCTGTCCTCATGAAGCTTACCTTTAGCTGTGGGAGACGATAAACAGTAAGGAAACAAATCTTGCACTCTATCAGATTGCTATAGAATGTGCATAGGTTGGTGCCTGGGGGAGGCTCCATGAGGATGTGACCTTTGAGCAGGGACTCGAAGAAGGAGAAGAACTGAGCACAGAGATGTGTTGGGGAGAGCATTCCAGGCAGAGGCAACAGCTCATGCCAAGGCCCTGAGATAAGCCCGGGACTGTCCTGTTGGGGGCCAGCAGGGAGGTTTGTGTGGCTGCAGCTGAGGGAAGGACAGGGATATAAGGTGAGCACAGAGAGGTAAAGGCTTCAGTGATTCA
The DNA here is from genome assembly GCF_000001405.40 of Homo sapiens. Classification (NCBI taxonomy): domain Eukaryota; kingdom Metazoa; phylum Chordata; class Mammalia; order Primates; family Hominidae; genus Homo; species Homo sapiens. The sequence continues at coordinate 73,511 of NW_003571033.2, forward strand.
GGCCAGGTAAAACCTTGAGACCTGCAGGGCTTTGGGTGGAGGAGTGATGGGCCCAACCTACCTTTGGAAGGGCTTGTTATTTGAAACCCTGGTTGGTTTTCTCTGTCGTGTGTCTGGGTTTGTTGGCATCATCTCCTCTGGTCGGCTTCCATTTCAGCTGCTCTGTGGGATAGCTGCCTGGCTCCGTGCCCCACAGCCTGCGCTTTAAGACAGACCATTCTAACATAGCCTCTCCATTTGGTGAAAACACGTTCAGGCATTTCACATGATTCAATGACAGAGAGAAACCGTTGGTTAGATACAGTCATCCATTTTGGCTCCGTTCATGGGTCATGTGGATCTGTGTGGGACTGATCCATCTTCAAGGACCTGGTGACCCCACATTGGTGGGAACTGGTTGCTTGGGTCTGGCCCTGAGATTGTGCTCTGGCCCATGGACTAGTCATATTTGTTGGACCTCAAAGCCAGGGAGAGGAAATGAGGGCACCAGCCATTGGAGACAGAAGATGCCTGTGTCCAAAGGGAGCTGGGCCTTTGGAGCATGGAGGAGGAGCCTGTGGAGGGGGCTGCTGCCGGGGAACCCGAAATGAAGCCATGAAATTGCTTCATCTACATCTGTTTTACCAGAGAAGTGATAATCCTAATTATAGATAATTATAGAAATTCAGAAAAATATTGAACATTAAAATTTCACTATATTTCTACCAGCCAGAGATCAGTGATATCAATGAAATATTTTGGGATGTTTTCTTCCTTTATATCCGTGAGCTCTCAGGCACTCTCACCCTACTGTCCCTAGCCATCCACGCTCTCTTTCAGTCTCACTCACACCTACAACTCAAGCATGTGAGCACATCATCACACACTCACACCGGGGCTCACAAGTCCCTTGCCCACACACGCAGTCAGCTGCTCACTCTCCTGTTCTCATGCCTCTGCGCAGCCGCACTCACTCCTGCATGCTCCTCCATACACAAGTACTTACAACACACACTCTTGCTCACACACAGAACATGCACACTTGCATTCACACACACAACTTGCATGCACACTAATGATCGTCCACACTTTCTCACTCGCACATTCACACAATCACTCTCGTGCAGTTCTCACCCTCACTCCCCTTGCTTGCCTTCACTCACACCCACACGCATGTTCACACTCCCTTGTACACTTACACAGATGCTGTCTCAGGACACTCCCCCTCACACGCACGCAGGCGCATTCACACCCGTCACTCATACACTCATTCACTGTCACAACCACCTCCGTTCACAGGCACACTCATTTCCATGCTCACGGACTCACATGCTTTCTCCTCTCATACACTCAGGAGTGTGATATTTAAAGAATGTTTCATCAGCTCTTTTGCCTTTTTTGAAGTTCGAGTGGTCTTTTGCGTCTTTTGAATGACGTATTTTCCTCACTAGCTCCTCCCGTCTCCCTGCTCGTCCGTTCTCTCTCCCACGCTGGGCGCGGTTCCATGCGCACCCTCCCAGGCTGCTCCCCGCTCTCACCCTCGCCCAGCCCATGCACGCGGACAGACACACTGGCTTCGTGGCACCCACATTCTCTCCCTCACTCTCACCACCCACACGCATCAAATGCACACTTTAAAAATCCAAGAGTGGAGCCCTGCAGTGTATGCCGTTTTAGACTCGGATGTTTTCACTCAGCCTTGGAATCCTCCCCGAGCCGTAAATGTTCTTCAGAAATAGACGCACTGTCCTTGGCTGACTGTTCTGCCGCCCTCCTCAGCGCAGGGCCCGTTCTGCCTCCTGGAGTGTTTGGGTGAGGTGGGCGGAGCATGGAGCCTGCTGGCCAGGGGGTGAATGCCCGGGAAGCCCGCTGCAGGAGACAGTGGTGGAAAAGGCCAACTGGCCGTCGGGGCATCCCTGGCCCCGGGCAGCTGACTGGCTGGAACAGGACACTGTCTGGGCTTTGGGGCGGGAGCCCTCCTCTGGGTGCGTTGATGAGACTTGTATTCCCTCCTTGCTGGTCCCACCCTTGCTGTCCACTGTGACAGGAAGCTGAGCCTTGAGCTTTGGCATGGAGAGTCACAACCTGTGATGTGAAGAGGGACATGTGTGGGGAGGCAGAGGGATGATAATGAATGTGATGGAGGAGAAAGCATTGCCACAGGAGGCTGAATGATAGTTGCCTAAGCACAGTGTGCATAAATAAAAGGGACAAGTGATTTTAAATGATTTATACTACCCTTCCCAAACTGTTTATTGTTGAATCTCCCTAAAAACAAACAAAATGAGAGAAAGTTGCCAAACTCAGGACTCTATATTTAGTATTTACACCCCAGGAGATGCCTGGGCCTTGGACAAAGAACTGTTCTCATTCCCCTTTGGTGTGGTGGTGTTTTTATGAAAAATGTAAACTGTGATTACGGTTCAATCAGTAATGAAACCACTGACAAGAAACAGAGAGAGTGCATGCAGGGTGGGCGCAGGTGTTAAGGAGCAGGGTATCTGGGCTGAGCTCCCTCCGGCAGGGCCTGGGACAGTGTGTCTGTAACAGAGTGAGTGCTGCACCCCTGCCCCTGGGCTGGAAGGCAGCACAGCCTCAAACAGGTCCTGTGTGCACATTATTCATAATCACAGATCCATTTGGTTTCCTGCAGAAAGTAATTTACCTCATCCGAGGACACAATTGACTTCAGGTGCTTCTTATTTCAACACAGAATTGGACCCAGTAATAAGACCTTAAATTAACAGAGAACCTTTATTGCAAGAAACTTAGTGTTTCCGTAGCTTTATAGTCTGTTTCTTCCTTTTAGATGTGAGCGTGTGTGAGTTGCATCCCTTGAAATTCTGTGTTAAAGTAGGTCAATTTAGACAAAGTTTGCATGCAGAATTTAGCTCTCTCCTCTTCCTCTATAGGAAAATATTTTGCAAGGAACTGATCATATTTCCTATGGTAAATACATGGAGACTTGAGCAGACAGAAATGTTTGATCTTCTGATCTTGTTAACAAAGATCACCAGATTTGGCTCAGGCTCTTGTCTCAGTAATCTAATTCCTAAGGTTTCATTTGTAGAAAATAATCCAAAATGAAGGGAAAAAATGCCCCCAAGATGACAGTGAAAGTTTTAACAACAACAATAAAAGGAAGCAATACAATCCTAATGAAAAAATGGCTTTTATGTTATGAAATATGCATCAATAAATTCATACTAGTCATCTTTATTGGGCACTTAATATGTGCCAGAAAATGTTCTAAGAACATTATAAGGTTCATCTCATTTGATCTTGACAGCAATGATAAGGCAACCACTGTTTTTATTCTCATGTTACCAATAAGAAAACTGAGGCACAGAAAGGTTAGATAACTTGCCCAGGGCCACCCAGGAGGAAAGTCCATGAAATGCCTCATCCGTAAGCTCAGTGACTTAAAACAAGCAAGTGTGTGGACTTGCGTCTGAAGCAGGTGTGGAGACAGGAAAAATGTGAGTCAGTTACGGTGAGATATTGTGGCTAACTTTTCATTTCAGCTTGTTGGTATTACATTGTAACATTTACATAATAAAAAAAAGAAAAAAGGAATTCACCCTGATACAACATAGCCCAGTAGGAATTTTTGTGAGGAAACCTTTGAATTTTTGTGGGTGAGGAAATGTGTGGTTCCACTGTGAGCAGATGGGCAGGCTTTGTTCTGGTTTACAATTTGTGGTCTGGGTTCTCAGGCTCTGCACCTCAAGGTGCTCCAGTAATGACACTAGGTCCAGGGGTGGGCATGGTCAGGGTGGGGGTGTCACAGGGAAGGGGGTGCACCAGCGGCGTCCATGGCAGGCTTGGGAAGTGTCGGGGGAATGATCTGGTGCCAAATGTGTCATAAATTCAGTGAATTGCTGCACTTAAGTGGCCTTTAAAAATCTCTTCCAGTCTAGAGAATTGCAGACACTGCACAACCTTCGGAAACTCTTTGTCCAGGATCTGACCACCCGAGTTAAAAAAGTGAGTTCTCTTTGTCTGAATGGGACTGAGAAGAAAATCAAAGATGGCAGGGAAGAATCATTTTCAGTTGAAATATCACTTGCTTAAGTCGGGGCTGGTTATGCTTAAAAATTAATTACTGCACACCAGAGAATGTTATTAAAAGAATGTGCTGGAGGCAAAAAATACTTGGTAACATTTTCCCATCTGATTTTTCCTTCTTGGTAAAAGGAAGTCAGAATACTTTCTCTGGCCTTCATTTCAAATGAACGCATATTTTTCTGGCCCCCACTGTGTGAGGGCAACTGCTCTTGACACAGAAACATTTAGAGCAGTCATTTCAGAAAGCATTGCCCAGAAGCCTGGAGAAGTCGGACAGAGAGAGCCTCTTATTTGTTTGTTAAAAGGCCATTAGGGGCTAGGTCAGAGTTTATAAAGCACGTCAACATCCAGTATTTTATTTGCTTTTCCCAGCAACCATGTAAGTGGTGCTTAGTGTTCCTGTTTCTGCAGATGTGGAGATAGGCTCAGATGTTAAATAACTTACCCAATATTGCACTGGTGGGAAGAGCCAGAGATAGGTCTGGAACCCAGGCCTGCGGGGTCTCTGGATCTGAGCTTCTTCCATCCTCGTGCTACAGCAGCAGTCTGGAGACACTCCATAATGGTGACTCCCCCAAACAGCTTGCAGAGGTTTAAGGAAGGAGTCTGTTTAAGAAAAGTGGGTGCATATGTGTGTAAATGTGTGTGCATATTTGAGTGTGTGTACGTGTGTGTGTGAATGTGTGTCAGTGTGAAGGAGCCAAGGGAAAGAGGTCAAATGTCTTACAAAGATAGAGTCGGGTCTGAGAGGGAGAGGGTTAATAGTGTAGATGGATGTATTAGATAGGCTTGCTAAGGAGGAGGGACACAAATTCCTAGAAGGGAGGAGTGGAGAAGTCAAGTTGGAAGGATCGGCAGGGAAATACATGCGGGTGGAAAGAAGTCACATTTGATGACTTGGGTCTTCTTGGTTTATGTGAAGGCTCAGTCCTTGGTGGGGAAGTAGGGAAGAGAATGGGAAACCCAAGGAGACTAGACATGGTTCAGGCTGCCAAGGTAGGGGATGTGCTATGGAAGAGTAGAAGGATTGCTGAGCAGTGGTGTTGGTGTTGAGTTAGAAGCATGGGCTTGGCGTGGCCCCTGACAGCATGGTTTAAGTGAGTTTCGAATCCTGGAAATGAAAATAAAGAAGGCAGAAAATGATGGGCAATTTCAAGGCCTGCATGGCAATGGCTAGGCGATTAGGTAGTAAGCACAGACCAAAACACAAATGACCATGGGGGCCTGGCCCTGGCAGGAGAGTGAAGCCAGAGCAAAGGTGATGGACAGGGAGGCTAGAGAGGGGAGGGCACCTGGCCAGAGGTTATGACATGGACTGAAAAGGTTCAGTCCGAGGAAGGAGGTGGAAGCCATGACCATACATGGGAGGCTGTGGTCCTAGGGAGGGTTAGGAGCTTGAGATCAGACTTCCAGATTTCATGATAGAAAACTCCCTAGGAAAGCCCTGCTTTTAGACCAGTGTTTTTCTGCCGGTGGTTCTCTGGCCATCAGCCTCAGCATCACCTAGGAAACTGTTTAGATATGCAAATTCTCATACCCCACCCCAGGTCCACTGAATCAGAGACTAGGGATGGGGCGTGGCAATCTAAGTCTCAACAAACCCTCCCCTGGAGAGCCCAGTGCTAAGGCTCAAATTTGGGGAGCTCAGTTTTAGACTGAAGAGCTGCAGGTTTGAGATGCTCATGTAGCCATTACCTTTGAGAAAAAGGATGATGATCTCTTCTATAATCAGACAGAGCAAACCTGCTTTTCCACCTTGGAACACTGGGATGTGTTAGGACCTGTACTTTCCAATTTATCTGTGCCACTCGGCTTGCCAGGAGTGCAGTGTTTTGCCAATTTCAAGATCTGATAAATTTCAAGAATTTACCCAGCACCCGGATGCTATGATTAATTTGAGCCTGGTTCATTAATTAATTTTATAGATTTGGAAGCTGAAGGGACAAGCAGAGGCCATTAAGACTTCCCAGTGGGACCATAGACACTTGCTTACAAGTTTGGTGACTTGTTGTCCCACCATGATGGCTGAAATCAAATTTAGGTCCTGGGTTTATGTTTTTGCAGTTGTTGTTTCTTAATGAGTTTTGGAATGCTTTCTTTTGAAAAGAAGTCTCTATTTACTACATGAAAGGCAGATGTATATTTTACTGAAGATAAATCATCTACAACTTTCAAAAGCAGATTTGAAGGAGTTTTTTTTTTTTAGCTCTCTAAAAATTAGCTCCTCAAATCGCTTTTCATACTAATAAGGGAAATTAATTGGGGGATTTCTTGAGTCTAAACTTTTAGAACCTCTATTTTCACTTTCAGAATACCCTTTGGTGGGAATGGGGATTTTTTTTTTCCATCCACATTATCCTGGGGCGGAGGGTGGGTGGGTGACAGCCTGTCCTGCTGACCCCTTGGTGTCAATGCAGAGTGTGGAGTTGGACAACGATGATGGAGGGGGCAGTGCTGCCCAGAAGCAGAAAATTTCCTTCTTGGAGAATAACCTGGAGCAGCTCACCAAAGTTCACAAGCAGGTAGGAGAGTTCTGCCCGCTCCCCTCTGATTCCCTCCTCTCTCCTGGAAAGAAGCCCCACCAGGTTTGGCCACAGTGTGCGGAGAAGGCACTGAGATTGAAGGTAAAAGAACTGTACACTATCAGAGGACATGAGGGCTGGAAAGGTCCTTACAAATCCTTTAGTTCTCAGTGACTTCCCGTATATATAAAGGACTTTCTTTTATCAAAGCCAAATATAACGCATAGGGTTTGAGCTCTCTGGGGTTGGAGAGGGAAGTGTTCAGAGGCCTGTCTTTTCATCCTGCCTCCACCCCTGACTTTGGACACCATCTAGCCTCTGTGTCTCCCATGACACCTCTGAGGTACCTCTGTGGACCTGAAAGTGGACACCACTGAGCTGGTTCAAGTCCTTTATTTTTACAGATGGGGAAACAGACTGGTGCCTTGCTTCATTGCACCGTGGGAGGACCGGGACTGGAACCAGCACCCTCTCTGCTCAGCTGCCCATTCCTAGCGATCTCAGATGCTCTCTCGGATGCCTGCGATGTGCTGGCATTTGTCTAGAGTGACAGAGAGTGATAACTGTGTCCAAACTCACCAGTGATTTCAGCAGGTCATTTGTCTTGGATACTTTCTTTTTAAATGTTGGTGTGTGCATGGCTGTTTTCCCTCTTTAGGAATTGGGATATGATGGAAACGGCCCAAGTTTTTAGACCACATGGCCGAGGAGATGTCATTTCTCTTTGACTTGTTAAGTCTTCTTCAATATTACTGATGATGGCATTTTTTCCCCAGAGAGAGGATGATAGATTCTAGATAGTTGAAGTCACTCAAACAAATTGTCGATGAGAAATACGAAAGCAGAAACTGTCAGGGAGCTTGAAATAGGGCTCTGAGATGCATTTTTAAAATTTATTTTTATTTATTTTTGTTTTTTTTAATGTTTTTTTTTTTTTTTTGAGGCAGAGTCTTGCTCTGTCGCCCAGGCTGGAGTGCAGTGGTGCGATCTCTGCTCAGTGCAACCTCTGCCTCCTGGGTTCAAGAGATTCTCCTGCCTCAGCCTCCCGAGTAGCTGGGATTACAGGTGCGCGCCACCACTCCTGGCTAATTTTTTTGTATTTTTAGTAGAGACAAGGTTTCACCATGTTGGTCAGGCTGGTCTTGAACCACTGACCTCGTGATCCGCCCACCTTGACCTCCCAAAGTGCTGGAATTACAGACGTGAGCCACTGCACCCAGCTGAAATGCATTATCTTATTCATGGATTGAACGAGCATTTATTAAAAATGTACTCTCTGCCAGGCACTAGAGCTGGTGCTAGGAGAACAAAGCAGGAGACCCAGCAGTAGCTCACTTTGGTGTAGCACTTTGTGATTTTCAAAACTCCCTCCATCCATCTGGGTCCCCTATTATGTAGTACACTTGTGTTATAGATGAGAAACTTGAGACTTGTGGTGGTCAAATGACTTACACCAAGTCAGATGGCCAGGACATAAAGAGCTGGCCCTTGAGCCCACTCCTACCTAGGGCTGGGCTGTTGCTTCTTCAATCAGCAAAAAGGCGCAGTCTCCTCCTCTTACCTTAGCCTCTGGATGTGTTGCAAAGCTGGGTCCAAACCCCATGCCAGTGTAAACAGCAGGTTCTGCATGGAAGGAAGCCCTCTGAGAGCTCAGGAACATGCTTGTTTTTCACTGAGTCCTTTCAAACCGACTTTAAGTGTTTCAGCTTTCTCATGCTAATTTAGTATTCTCATATGTGGTCGATTTTCTCACACAATCCCCCTTTCCTCTACACACACCCAAACAGAAGAGGAGGTAAATCCTGCCTCAGATGGAAAGTTTCTTGTGGTGGGAAATAGGTTTTAATTGTATCCCCACCCCACCGTTCCTTGCACCCTGTGAATCACGTGTTCAGGAACCTGGACCCCACAGTCTGAGTTTTCCTTTCCTTTCTGTGGTTGTACGGAGTGCCAAGGACAACCTAGCAGGGGCCACCTGTTCAGCAGCAGGGGCTGCTTCTGGCTGCTCTGGTTTGTGCAATGCTGCCTGCCTGGTAGTAACTCCCTTCCTTTATCCTCCTGCCCCAGCTGGTCCGGGACAACGCAGACCTGCGCTGTGAACTGCCCAAGCTGGAGAAGCGGCTGCGTGCCACGGCGGAGCGCGTCAAGGCTCTGGAGAGCGCGCTGAAGGAGGCCAAGGAGAACGCCATGCGGGACCGTAAGCGCTACCAGCAGGAGGTGGATCGTATCAAGGAGGCCGTGCGGGCCAAGAACATGGCCAGAAGGGCCCATTCAGCCCAGATCGGTACGTGCGTGCACAGTGGCGCCCGGGGTTTGAGAAGCTACTGCGGCCTCTCAGCTCAGATTTGCTAAAAGGTGAAGACAGCGCTGGCCCACTCTGGAACATCTGAAAGGCTGGGTTGGAGCCCGCAGGACGCAGCCCTCACCGCACCCTGTGCTCACCCTGTGGGAATGGGAATGTCAGGCGCCCCCGTTATCCTACTCTGAGATATTCCAGCATACATCGTGGTCTCAAAACTTCTGAGCTGGGCAGAGAGAAGCCAGCCAAGGCTGTAGGCCTAGGTCTTGGGCTATAAATGGGTACACTCTTAGAAATACTGGAATAGGAGGATATTTCTCTGCAAGGTGTGAAGGGCCCTGTGTTCTGCACCCGGTGGGAGCATGAAGGAGCCCATATGTAGCCAGAGCCCCAGGGAAAGCCTCCAAGTGCAGGTTTGGAAATACCCCTGGAAGAGCCAGGCTGGCATCCATGACAGGGTGTGGCTACAGGCTGGCACAGAACCTGGGGAGGTCTGGAGTCTCAGCCTCTTCAAGACCTGTATGGATTTGGGCATTTTGCCCATGTAGGAAATGAGGGTGTAGCCAGAGTCCTGGTTCCCAGGATAGCCATAGGGACAAAAACAATTTAGGAATATTCTCTAAACAGCTTCTTCTCCTTTTTTTTTTTTTTAAATTGAAACATCTCCAATAACATGTAATTTATTTCCCATCAGATATTGCTGTGTAGATGTATTGCAAACCAGCAGTTTCACGTTTCTAGTTTTAAATCATACCTTAGAATAGTGGTTCATTGCATGTGTAGGATTTCATACCCTTTGAGAATCTATTAAAAGCTATGGACCCTCTCCCCAGAAAACAGCATCACAGGCAGAATTCTGCATCCAATTTCAGGGGCTACACAGATATCCTTGAAAGTCATGGGGAACCTACGATCCATTTCAGATGAAACTGAAAATCTTTTTTTCTAACTTTTCTTGGCCCAAATTAGAAATGAGCTAATTGATGTTTAAGTTCTTTCTGTCCCCTAAATATTTGGATGCCTTGGATTTGCTAAGTATACTGATAGTTTTCCCATTTTCAGAGAGATCTGGTGGTTGATAAGAATTGTACTGTTGGTAAGAATTGTGACTTTTAGTTGTCACAGGTGACCTGTAGATATCAGGGTTGCTGTTAAGACTTTTCTAAATGTCTGTTCTCTCTTCTTTCTGTTGGTTGGATACAGCCAAGCCCATCCGCCCCGGACACTACCCGGCCTCATCTCCAACGGCCGTCCATGCCATTCGAGGGGGAGGAGGCAGCTCTTCAAATTCCACTCACTACCAGAAATAAATACAAAGTGAGTCCCATGTCAAGGGTGGTTTCTCTATCTGGAGGCAGAGGCTTCTTGCCTTTCCAAAGCCCCTGCCTGGCAGTGGACCTTGAGTAGAGAGGAGTTCTGCTCTACTCCAGCACACACCCTGGGGGTTCCAGGTAAACAGAGACCCAGACCTGTCCTCACTTAGTCCAGAGCCCTGGGGTCTTCTAGCTGAGGCTGTCTGGGGCCCATGGGACCTGGAGCCAGGCCCGGCCTAATCCCCTCCAGGGGTAGGGGTGGTGAGTGATTCAGCCGAGCTTTGTTTTGCCTGTGGGACTCCCCTCTTTAATTGGCATCCCAAAGGGCATTACCTGTTTGTCAACTGCTTTACCCACAGCAGACAGAAGTTGGGGGTTGCTTTAAGTCTCAGGAACAGAATATAAAGAAAGAGCCAGATAATAGAAAGTGATGTTTTTATGTTTACTATCTGAACTCAACAAGTGGGGATTTTAAGAAGATATCTAGATGAGTCCAGGATGCTTTTTTCTTTGAGATGGTGGTCTGCAAGCTTCTCTACCCACAACCCATGTGCACGACATTTCTCTCCCAGCAAAAAGAAAAGGAACGAGTGATATTCTTTCCAAAAGAGAAGAAGCAGAGAGCGAAAACTGTCATCCTGATGGAAATGGAGAAAAGAGGTTACTAGTTGGGCGGGCAGACAGATGACTAGGTGACCAGAAAACTTTGTTTAGATAAACTCTGACTTTGAACATGCAGATGGGAAGAGGTGGCTCTGAACATTGTCCTTGGACTCTAAGCCCTTGCTAGGGTAGCTGGCTCCCAAGGCAGGCAAGCATGCAAGGTGTGAAGCCTGGACCCCTCCTCATCCAGTCCTTTCTGCATCAAGGCAAGAAGGTGAGCAGGAGGGGCTGGAGCCATCACTCAGGGTCCCGGCATCGCCCAGGCATAGGCTAAAACTTCCAAGGGAAATGCTTTGGTAGTTGCCCCCACACAACTTTTACCTGTGCTGCCCCAGGCAGTGCCAACGAGCAGGCCAGGGGCTGGTCAGAGTAGTGGGAACAGGAGGGAAGGCGGAGGCAGCCCGCGGGCGGGCAGTGTGCCTGCCATCATCTGCCATCTTCTAGACAGGAAAATGGGAAATGGTCTTGGCGGTGGGCCACCCCATTCCTATCTAATCTCTGCTTCCAATCAGAAATAGAATGAAACTGGAAGTTAGAAAGTTGCTTTTGACTACATATTGTCAGTATCGAGGCTGATACCTGAAGGGAACTCTAAGATCCAGCTGGGCAGCTTAGAACAGAAAAGCCTGAAGCAGTGGTCATCGAACTTTGGTGGATGTGAGCATCCTTGAGCACCCAGAGGCCCAGGCTCCTTAGAAGAGGAAGGGCCTGGGCTTTGTTTGTCTTTTTAACCAAGTACTCCAGGTGATTCTGATATTCATCGAAGTTTGAAAACTCTCCATGGTTTATACAGGATGGCGGTTTACGTCTGTCTTATGTAAGGGAAATTTGAAGGTGGTACATCAGTAGTTAAGAATCTCCACAGTGAAAACAGAAACCTAGCCTCTTAACTAGGTTAAGCACGTGCCTGCCTCCTGAACTCAAGGCCAGCTCAAGGTCACCAAATGACTTCAGTTTCAGCCATCATGCCTACATTCCAACTTTAGCAACCAGAGAGGAAGCAGAGAAGAGGCAAAAGCAGCCGTCCTGAATGAATCTCCTTTAAGTAGCCTTCCTGAAGCCCCATGCAATGCTGATGCCTCCCTTTCCCTGGACAGCACTGAGCCACATGGCCACATCTAGCTGGAAAAGGTAGTCTTTTAGCTGGGCACATCACTACCCCAAAGAAAGGTAATGCTTTTAGAGCAAGGACAGGGAGAGTGGATGTTGAGGTGGGCAGCTGGCATACTGTGCATTATGGACCACCTAATATGCTGCAGCACTGGGCTAGATGTAATATAGGCATCACCTCATTTGATGAAAGCACACATAGAGGTGTATGTGTGTTTCCCAGCAAGGCCTTACTAAATATACTGGTCCAGGGATTCTGGGGTCCAGAGATTGTGCAGTGGGACAGTCACCTTCTTCATGGGTTCCAACAAAGGTCTGCCAGTCCCATATTTTATGTAGGCTCCAAACAACCAAATGCTGGCCATTCATCACCAGTGTAGCCTCTTCTCATACAGAAGAGTGAAAATCAGTAGGTCTGGGGAGACTTTCAAGACCTTCGGAGTGAAAGAACCACCCTCACCCATTGTGGCATTTTTTTTTAATTTTACTTTAAGTTCTGGGATACATGTGCTCAATGTCCAGGTTTGTCACATAAGTATACATGTGCCATGATGGTTTGCTGCACCCATCAACCCATCATCATCTTTTCGAGATGGAGTTTCACTCTTGTTGCCCAGGCTGGAGTGCAATGGCATGATCTTGGCTCACTGCATCCTCTGCCTCCTGGGTTCAAACGATTCTCCTGCCTCAGCCTCCCGAGTAGCTGGGATTACAGGCATGTGCCACCATGCCCAGCTAGTTTTTGTATTTTTAGTAGAGACAGGGTTTCACCATGTTGGCCAGGCTGGTCTTGAACTCCTAACTTCAAGTGATTCCCCCCACCTCAGCTTCCCAAAGTGCTGGGATTACAAGCGTGAGCTACTGCACCCAGCTGGCAATTTGTTTCTTTACTCAAAGTGTTACAAGTGGTTTTGATGGTTTTATCTGAATTCAGAGCCTCCTTGACATACCTTCTCCACACAGCTTCAGACACAGCTTCTGTAACTAGGTGCTTCTCTCACCAGGTTACAAAATAAACAGGCCCCCTCTTACAGCTCTCAGGATGGCAGTGTGGCTGAGGGGACTGGCATTGGACAAGGGACCTGGGTTCAGGTGTTAGGTCTTCCACTTCCTTCAAGTTACTTAAACTCAGGTCTGTTTCCTCATATATGAAATGGGGAAAATCTTTTATGTTGGTCATTGGCATTGACAGAAGGCTTAAATGAGGTCATGCTTCTAAGCCCATAACAATTGCTCAATAAAAATGTTAGCTGCTAGTATAGATGAGCACTGCAGAAGGTGGTAGTTGATACATGTTGGTTTATAGTGTCCTTTAATTCATATAGTTGTTACTAAATGGTTTTTAGTTCCTCTATAGCAATAAATCCTGGCGACTGGATAGGGAAGGCCTATTTCTAACTGAGTATCCTAGTTGTTGCTATGAACTGACATAAGGGCTTTTAAAGATAATATTGGCCGGGCATGGCGGGTCATGCCTGTAATCCCAGCACTTTGGGAAGCTGAGGTGGGCAGATCACTTTAGGTCAGGAGTTCAAGACCAGCCTGGCCAACATGGTGAAACATCCTTCCCTACTAAAAATAGAAAAATTAGCTGGGCGTAGACATGCACACCTGTAACCCTAGCTACTTGGGAGGTTGAAGTGGAGAATTGCTTGAACCCAGGAGGCAGAGGTTGCAGTGAGCCGAGATTGTGCCACTGCACTCCAGCCTAGGTGACAAAGTGAGAGCCTATCTAAAAAACATATATATATAATTTACTTATCTACAAGCTATGACTATTTTTAAGAAATGACTGGGCATTTGTCAGTGGAGATTAAAAAGGGGTAGTAATCAACAGATTCAGGAATTGCAATTGAAAAGTAAAGAAATGCTAAATCCTTTTTGAAAAGTAATTGAAAATATGGAATTCATTGCTTAGATGAGAGCAAAGCCTTTTTGAGACAGTCTTTCCTGACCTTTGGGATTTTCATTCTGAAGTATCTCTTCCCTGGGTAGAAATGATCTCAATTGTGTCTTCCCAGCCCTCCTGTGGAGTCAAAGCACATATTCTTACAGCTGGATATCTTTGGAATTTCCTTCTGCTTCATTTCAGGGTTCAAGAATTATAGCCATAATGAGTATTTTGGTTTATTCTCAAGGTTTCAGAGCCTATGAAGATGCCAATATACAAAAATCAAAAGAACCCAGGATAATGCTGGCTTTGATCTTATCTGGTTCAAATCCACAGGGGGCTGCCTCAGGAGGAGATGATCTTTTTCAAACCCCAGAGCTACATATGGGGCAGTGCAGTGCAACCATGTGACATTGGGCAAGTTACTTGATTTCTGTCAGCTTTAGGTTTCCTACCGGCTAAGTGGGATCAGGCATTGAGAGCCTAGCTCTGTACTTGGTTTCACAGTGAATCAGACAAGAAGGCTGTGTTCTTGTCCAGTGATATGCTTGTTAGGGGAAGATGGACAGAAAATAAGGTAACTTCAAGTAGTGGTAAGTGCTCAGAAGAAAACAAAAACAGGCTAATGGAATAGGAACACTGTTTTAGAAGAGGGGGTGACATTTAAGTTGAGAACTGAGTGATGAAAAATGCCAGGCACACAGCAACCTGGGAGAAAGTGGTTCGATGATCACTCAAAGGTAGGAATGAATGAGGGTTATTTGAGGAATGTTACCAAGGCTGATAAGGCAGTAGCTCATGGATCTGGGAGAACCCATCTTCATTAGAGTGGATGGGGAGGGAGTTGAGCCCAAGTAAATGAAGGTGTTGAAGCTGTGGGCAACTTAGATTGTAGCCTAGTGTGAGGGGCCACTGGGGCTGTGGGCGTGGAAGCAGTGGGAGCTGGTTCATGATTAGACAAGGCCACTCTGGGCTGGACCCTGAAGAAGGGGTAGGAATGGGGTAAGCACTGGGGGTTGCCTAGGGCGTCACTGTAGGTGGCCATGGGGGAGGGTCCGGTACCAGACCCAGGTGGTGGCAGCAGGGGAGAAGTGGCCTGAGTCAGTGCCTGCTTAGAGCTGATTCAGCTGTCAGGCTTACTGATGAGGGTTGAGAGCAAGAAGAGGAGGAAGGAAGGGAATCAAGGTAGTTCCTAGATTTTTGTGGGCTCTAGCAGTTAGGGAAACATTGGTCCCTTTTTAACCATGCCAGGGAAAATCGGGGGATGAGCAGGTTTTGTGGGAAAGCTTGGTTTCCATCATGTTGCTTATGTGCTGCCTCTCAGACATCCAGCTGAGCCCACCACGCAAGTGGGTGTGTGGAACAGGTGGCTGGATCCGTGGGTCTGGAGCACAGGAGAGAGGCTGAGGTGAGGCCAGGGCTGGAGAGTTGTGACTTGTAGATTGTGTTTATGGCCACAGGTCTGAAGGAGGCAACCTAGAGAAAAGGTGGGCACAGCAGAGAGGGGAGCTGAGGGGCGAGTTGGACCAGGCCCAGGCACTGGAAAATGGGAAGGCCAGAGAAAAGAGGTGGCACCAGCAGAGGGGCCTGAGGATCATGTGGGGGCACAGAGGTCAAGTGAAGACCTTGACCCTAGAAGGAAGGTGGTCAGCTCAGAGCTTGAGTAAGATGATGACAGAGACTGGGTGGTTGAAGAAGGCCAGGTGGCAGTGACCTTAGCATGGACTAGACAGACTAGGTGAGGAAATAGAGCCGGCAGCTGAACCCACTTTGGGGGTTTTATTTGAAGGAGATCAGAGAAATGGAGCGATGTGGTGGTAAGGTGGGGCTGCGTTGCTTTTCTGTTGTAAGATGGGAGATATTACAGCATAGTTGTGTGCGATGGTGATGGTATAGCTGAGCTGGGCAGAGGAGGAAGCACAGCTGTGGGTGGGCGGTAGATGGGGTGCATTGGGAGGCAAGATCCAGGTCACCTTAGAGCTTGTTTTCTCGTGCAGGCAAGAAGCCAGATGATCAGCTGAGAGAGAGGGAGGAAGCAGGGTCTCGCTCTTGAGACCAGAGACGGTGTAAAATCAACCTCTCAGGCAGTGCTGAGTCTTCTTTGCAGCCCCACACTTAATGTAGACACCTGATTAAACATCTGCCCAGCTCCCTCGTTTTGAGAGCCCTGGAGATCCACTTCCTTTCCAGGCAGTGCTTTGGCAAGCCAGGGGACTTGTTCAAATGTCTCCACCAGATGGCGCCAGTAGGGCATTGCTGAAACCTTAGATGTTTTCTGAAAGACGGAAGGCAGAATGGTCTTTTTTCTTGGTTTTCCTATATTTAGACCATTTTATCTCAAACTTGAGTAGTAAATAGAGTATTTTGAAAGGAATACAATTCTCACAGATCCCCAGAGTTGATTTAAATTATTTTATTATAATACAATTTGCACATTGTAAACAGTATACATTCCCTACTTACAGATCTTATACAACTGTCAAGTCAAAACAAATTTAGAAATTAAATCGAAATAAAACCACAAATAAAAAGTCCAAACCACCAAACTTCACATAATTTAATGAAAGAAGGGCTTTTTCTGAAAATAAAGAGCTAGGTGCAATGCGACCCCGGAGTGCGTTGCTTCTTGTAGAGTTTGGGATGCCTGTTTTTTGTGTGTCGTGGTGTGACTCAATTCTTTCACTCCTGTACTCCCAGCACTCTGAGAGGCTGAGGCAGCAGGATGGCTTGAGCTCAGGAGTTTGAGACAAGCCTGGACAACTTAGCAAGACCTTGTCTTTACTAAAAATAAAAAAATTAGCCAGGTGTGGTAGTGCATGCCTGTAGCTCCAGTGACTTGGAAGGGTGAGCTGGGAGGATCATTTCAGCTGGAGAGTTTGAGGCTGCAGTGAGCTGTGATCATGCCACCACACTCTAGCCTGGGTGACAGAGTGAGATTCTACCTCAAAAATAAATAAACAAATAAAAACAAATACATGAAGATTAGCCTAGTGCCTGGCACTGAACAAGCACTCCGTGCTCATCTGTGTTGTCCTCATCACCTGATCCTGTCTCCTCATTCTACATCCCAAAGAGGCGGGATGAGCTGTCAAGATCCCATAACTATGAGTGGTAGATCCTGGGCTAAGAGCGATGATCTTCTCTGCAACAGTTCTCAAAGTTCTTGGCCTTAGGACCTTTTCTCCTCTTAAAAAGGATCAATAGACTGGGTATGGTGGCTCACGCCTATAATCCCAGCACTTTGGGAGGCCAAGGCAGGAGGATCACTTGAGGCCAGGCGTTTGAAACCAGCCTTAGCGAGACTCTGTCTCAATAATAATAATAATAAAATAAAATAAATTAAAAATTAGCTAGGTATGGCAGCTTACGCCTGTAGTCCCAACCACTTGGGAGGCTGAGGTGGGAAATTGAGCCCAGTAATTTGAGGCTGTGGTGAGCCATGTTTGTGTCACTGCACTCTAGTCTGGGTGACAGAATGACAATCTTTCTCAAAAAAACAAACAAAAAAGGATCAATGAGTTTATATATATATATATGGGTTATATTTATTGATATGTATCATATTAGAAATTAAAGCAAAATATTTAGAATACTGCCGGGTTCATTTAAAAAATAGTAATAAGCCCATACATGTTACCACAAATGTGATTTGTAATGAAAATAACTATTTTCAAAACAAAAAATAGCCAAATGGCATTGTTTTACATTTTTGCAAATCTCTTTGATGCCTGGTTATTTAATAGATGGCAGCTGGATTCCCCCAGCTGTTTCTGCATTCTGTCTGTTGCGGTGTGCTGTTTTGGTTGAAGTATATAAAGATAATCCCCCTTTGTCACACCAGACAAGATTCTTGGCCATTGGACAGCTAAGAAAACTGTGGAATGGGGAAGTTGGGATCATAGTGCCCGTATCACAGGCTTGTCTGGGATTGAATGAGAGAATGTGAAAGAAGAGAGAAAAAAGTCTTAGAAGAATACCTGGCAAAAATTAGGCCCCCGTGCATGTTAGCTAATGTTAAAGTGGTCATGGGGACAGACCTGAAAAGACAGCTGAGGTGGGACTGCAGGGAGAGAGGACAGAAATAACTGTAGGTAGGTGCTGCTATGGCAGAGGACTTTGAAACTGGCAATCTCAACCCAAAGAAGGGAATTGTGGAGCACCCGGAGGCAAGAATTCCTGATTCCATCTACAGCACAGTAGGCTCCTCCACTTTAATACTCCTCAGCTTCATGGTTCTCAGAGTCATAAATTCAGAGCAACTAAAATTGTTCCTCCACAGCAGATTGTACCAAAGCTCCAATGAGATAAATCCACTTCTATTCAGCAGTGATAAGTAGAGTACAATTGGTAATTCTTATAATGTGGGGATTGAATTATAAAAAGGCAAAAGAAAAACTAAAACTATGTACTGTTTGGATTAAGCTTAAATCCACTGCAAGCAATTGCAAAAGCCCAAGTTGGGTGTGAAAACGGTCTCTAAATACTTCTTGCAAAACCCTTGTATAATTAACTTCCTTCATTAGCTTTCCCCACCCCTTCTAAAGAAAGGTGATTTTATTTCCTCCTAAATCTGGTCACACGTTGCCACTTTGAATTACCATCTCCAGTTTGGCAGAGTGCCAGGGGAAGTCCTAGAGCAGGTCAGTTGGTCCAGTCCCCTGCCTCTAAGTGAGTGAGTGGCTACTTGGAAGAGAGTCAACAGGACTGGGTTTTAAAGATTCTCCAGACTCCTCAGTCTCTCTGGGATTAGAACAGACAGAAATGCTTTATCTCAGGGCAAAACCATTTACCTTTAAAATTTATATCTATTTTCTCCCATGAATTTATCTAAGGATATGAAGATCCAGATAGTGGGAAGGATGGATGAGAGCATCCTGCTGGAATCCATGTTTCTTGGGCCTGCTGGAAAGACTTCTCAGCAGACAGGCCTGTAGAGATCCTTAACTGGGGATGAAGAGGAACGCTGCATCCTAGTAAAGAAAGGACCCTTCATTGGCAGAGTTCCTGTGCTTTTCCTCTCCTTTCTCACTCTCCTTGAGGTGACTAAACTAAGCAGGTGGGGCCTCCTTTGTGGCCCCGTGTTTCTTCCAAACTATGAGCCAAAACCTGCTGAATCTTGCCCAGCGGGGATCGGGGGCTTTGACTGAGAGGCCTTCCAGGGGGAAATTGTGTCACTTTATGGTCTGCTGGAGTTATTGAGGCCGCCCCATTGCATTTGTGTCTAGTGCTTGCTGTGTCAACACGGTTTGGCTGCAAACATTGCGTCAGGCCATAATCCCACAATCCAAGGTATGTGCTGGCACCTCTCTGCCTCCAGGCACGCAGAACGGCCATCTCATCCGACCAAGGGGATCTTATCTGACCAGGGGGATAGCGTGCGTGGAGAAATGAACCTGTGAGAAAGTGAAATGGCAGTTTCAGTGGTGGCATTCAGGCAGGCACTCCTATTGGTTTTCAGCTCAGAATGCATTTTAAATAACAACTATGACCATGCTTTTAGGTTTTTCACTTCTAATTCTGGCAATAAGCCCAAAATTTCACCAGAAAGGCCATGTTCTTCCCAAAGACATCTTACTCTCTGTGACTTCTAAAAATGACAGAAATATCACCCTCTAGGGTTGTTTAAGCCCTTCTTAGTTGTGTAGCTTTGCCACTGTGGGTGATTATACCAAATGAGTTCTGTGAATATTTTTTCTTGTCAGTGAAGAGGTGGTTTTGTTTTTGTTTTTGTTTTTTTGAGACTGAGTCTCACTCTGTCACCCAGGCTGGAGTGCAGCAGCATGATCTCGGCTCACTGCAACCTCTGCTTCCCAGGTTCAAGCGATTCTCCTGTTTCAGCCTCCCAAGTAGCTGGGACTACACATACAAGCCACCATGCCGGGCTAATTTTTGTATTTTTAGTAGAGATGGGGTTTCACCATGTTGGCTGGGCTGGTTTCAAACTCCTGACCTCGAGTGATCCACCCGCGTTGGCCTCCCAAACCAAAGTGCTGGGATTATAGGCATCAGCCACTGCACTTGGCCAAGAGGTGGTATTTTTAAAAAGAATGTGTTGTTCTGTTTTTTTTTTTCTATTCAGTTTCTGTTCCGTATTTCTTCTCCCTTTTTCACCCACTTTGCTTGTATCTGCTTTAATAACCCCTTTCTAGACTGAGAATTTTTCTATTTATATGTAACTTACATCCTGCTGATTTATGCAAAATATGTGAGGTTGCTTACAATATTATAACATATAAATCAGAAGAGTGAAGAAAAAAAAGAGCATGGTAGCGGGAATCTGAGATATTACCACAGTTGAGCACCAAATGTTGATATAAGCCTTCTAGAGGCAAAACAGAAAGCATAATGCATAATGTGTCAGGTTACAGAGGGCTTTTTTTTTTTTTTTTTTTAATCAAAAGAGAAGTTGGGCTTTTCTTAGTGGCTGTTGTATTTCCAGTACCAGGTAATTCCATGTATTTCTTAAGGATAAGGCTCTACCTCCCTCTTGTCATCCCTGTCCCCATCCCCTAGAGTACCATGAGCTCTGCACAAAACCTATAGTAAGATCTCAGAGCTAGGGCCTCCAGCCGGTGACAGGAAACAGAGCCTTTCAGTGTCTTCTGAAAGTTGAGCTTACTGATGTTGGGTGCAGGCTGACAGAGGCCATTCAGGCTGGTCTAGACGTTCATCCTGGAGATGCGCCCAGCACCAGCCGAACTTCTGGTGGGAAGTGGAATGAAATGGACAGGGGTGGTCTTTTGGAGAATCTTATTATCCGATGGAGACGAAGCATACCTTTGGGAACTGGGAACCTCTTTCTACAGAGAGTCTGGGTTAGGGGCCTTGTTGCACCTGCTTGCTATCCTAAGTGCAGGCAAATGAGAAATGTTTTAATTTCCCCCTAGGAATGAGAAAATGCATTATGTTACTCTGAATATCCATAGCCTCAACAGATACCGACTTATGGAAGAGAATGTTGAGACTGTCAGGACTAAATACTTAAAGCAAAATCAGGAAATCGGAGGTTGTGCTGTTCATGTGCCACTATCCACATGTGTCTTTTGAGCTCTCAAAATGTGGCTAAGTCCAAATTGAGATGGGCTGAAAGTGTAAAATATACACCAGATTGCAAACACTATTGTGTGAAAAAAAAAATCTCAGTAGTAATATTGTAATGTAAACGATCTCAACATGTAATACCAGTTACATGTTGAAATACTATTTAGGCTATATAAAATATATTACAATTAATCTTACCTATTTCTTTTCACTTTTTAATGTAGCCACTAGAGAATTTAAAATTAAATATGTGGCTTGGCCGGGCACGGTGGCTTATACCTGTAATCCCAGCACTTTGGGAGGCCGAGGTGGGTGGATCACCTGAGGTCAGGAATTTGAGACCAGCCTGGACAACATGGTGAAACACCGTCTCTACTAAAAATACAAAAATTAGCCGGGTGTGGTGGCAAACCCTTGTAATCCCAGCTACTTGGGAGGCTAAGGCAGAAGAATCACTTGAACCCGAGAGGCAGAGGTTGCAGTGAGTCGATATCGCGCCACTGCACCCCAGCCTGGGTGACAAGAGTGAAACTCCATCTCAAAAACAAACAAACAAAAAATATGTGGCTTGTGTTATATTTGTATCTGACAGCTCTGGTCTAAACATCTAGAATTAAACAAAACTTTTTTGAGGAGTAAATTTCTACTGTGTTTTCTAATTCCTATGTTCTCTCTTTGGTTCTCTTTCAACAGATATGACTCCACGTAGCATGTCAAGGACTACATTAATCACCAATTCCTTTATTTTTCCCCCCCTACAGTTTCCATTTTTTTTTTATACTTGCTTACTCCAGCCATCTGCAGTACACCAGTTTCAGGTCTTTTGAGCTGTGTAGAGTTTCTGTGTGTACAGATGTGTGCTCGGACTTTTCTCTTTTTGAGAAATCTGAAGGAGATGGTTGCAGAAGATCCACTTACTACTGAGAACCATTACCACCGACTCGGCCTCCGGGGTGTTGGGTGGTTTCTGGGTGGTTCCTGGAGCCTCCTCTGGGCAGTGCACTGTCCCATCTGTACGCCCTAATGTGCCATTCCCTAGAGGGGAACAACCAAGTGCCGTGGAGGCAGATGATCATGGTCTGCCTCAACTGTCTGGTTTCCTGTAAAATAAACACATTGTTTTATATTTTTAGGGAACAAAAAGTGCTGCTATAGGGTTCAAAGTTTTCCTTCTGAACACTTTTCCGAAACAAATTACCCCAAAGACACATTTTGAATATCCTGGTCACATCTTTGGATCTGTAAAATATACCTTTTAGTATGGCACCTGTTAAAATGCAAAGCAAATTTCTTTGGGGCAGAAAAACAATCTGACAGTAGCAGTGTAGAATTTGTTCATTCAAATACATCTGTGTAAATGCAAAAAGTCATAAAATTCACCTCCGAGCTGCTTGCTTTTGAACCTGCAGCAACTAGTCTTAGCCGGCCCGGTTTGAACATCGTTCTTTCAGAAGTGCTGAAAATGCTGCAAAGTTGGATAAGTGGAAATGTGGCTGCCCCTCTCCTCACTACTTCCTCTCTGATCGTTCTGAAGCTTGCATTGGGAATGGCTGCTTTCTCTAACCATTTTCAGCTTGAGTGGGTATTGCTGAAGAAATCCAACATCATTCCAGCAGTTGAAAAAGGAAGCCTTCGGGAGAAAGTGCTTGTCAAAATTTTGTTCTTTGTGCTTGTGTATGAGTAAGTTGCCATGAATAAGTTATTATTTTAACCCATAATTGGCGACTGTTTATAT